>NC_000006.12:161737456-161888971 GCF_000001405.40 Homo sapiens | reverse complement strand
TCAGCTTCTTGAGGCAGGCACAGAATAGGGTAATGAACTTTATTTTCCCATGTTTGGGAGAGACTTTGTCAGTAAGTACTCTAAAAAAGAAATCCAGCAATGGGATTGAGGAAGCATGAAGTCTAAGCTGGGCAAGGAGGGAGCTAAGGACAGGAGGGAGTAATGAATAATGAAAAGTTAGGAGGGTTAATGGATTGAAGGTTCTAGTAGAGTTGAAAAATTATTCAAGTGGGGTTACTAAAGGGATTGAGCTGAGGGTATGAAGTGATGATCAAAGGATGCTGGAGGATTATGAAGATTATGGGCAGTTATTGATAATGACAGGCCTACACCAGTGGTTCTCAACTGTCACAATGTGTGAAAATCAACCGGAAAAAATGTAAATATAGTTCCCCATGCCCCACTCCTAGAAAGGCTAATTCAGTTGGTTTTGGATGCAAGAGCAACTCCCAGAGATTGAAAACTACTGGTACATGGTGCAACCCCAGGAGAGGTGGGCAAAGTTGAGAGGATGGCAAGACCGTATGGTGTGAGGAGAAAAAGATTGAGGCCAGTTTGGATGAATGAATGTGTTGTGAGAACATTGAGGTTGTACCGCATTACAACAGAAGTGTTGGAAAGTAAGAAAATGACCTCGATGCTAGCTAGGAGGGCTGCAGAAGCTGTTAACATGAATGGGTAGAAGGTAAGCGCTGACATTCAGCTGTCATATGCTGATATTGGAGGGAGTTAATGAGCAAAAATAATACCCCCAAATGGAAGGACACATTGTCTACTGCCTACTGGAACATGATATTAATGTTCAAATCACATCTGATAATTAGGCAAATGGTCAAATTTTTCTTGAAATTTAATAAATTTCTCCATTGATGTCAAGCAGTTTTAGAAGGTGGGCCATTATTGCATTTTTAAACCATATGTTCAAAACTAAGACATTTTATTTGAAAGATTTTTAAACAGAATATGCACTTCTATTTCCAAGCTCCTTAAAGGGTGAGGATATACATTTTCATAACTGACACAATTATTTTTTAAAACAAATTCATAAAACAGTGGAAATATTCTAAACATCTGTCTTCAAAGTGTTTGCTCCAGAGTTCAACTTCCTTTTATAAAAAAGATATTTCTATATCTGGTAAAAATCGCATCGACCTTAATGGGACAAAATAACTGTTTTTGTTACTTTTCTAAAATATCTGCTAGATTGCATTTCTACCGGCAGTCATTTGATATCAAAGCTCTACACAAGTCCAAGTAGCACTTTTATGCAAATTTTTAAAAACTTCTTTCAAGACACATTGCTATCTGCTGGAAAATGTTTTCAGAGTAAAGATATTTGTATTAATACATTAGGAATAATATAAGTGGTGACCCCTAACATTGTTGAATGCATCTCTTATACAATCATACATGACGACCTTGAAAAGTTTCACTAACTTGCTGAAAGGAAAAATGAGTAACTCTTTCACAGTACTTTCAACGTTTATACTGTGAATTAAGGAGTGAAATTCTGTGGTACAAATAGGATTTATAGTCCCTCCCTATTTTATTCCAACTAGCAGAGGAAAGCCTACTGCATTGTTGAAGGTTTGTTTTTATCAAATTAACTACATCAGTAACACTTGTAGCACTTTTTACTTCTGGCTTTAATTTCTTTGCTCAGCATCTTTTTTGTAAGTCATACATTGAGTGAATACTCTTCCAGTACTACCTCTGTAACCATTCAGCTTGAGTCTTTTTCTCAAATCAAGATAGTTACTCCATCAGTGCTACAGTAATCCAACACAACCATCAAATAATAGTTTTTAATGCAAGAAACTATGTTGAGACCACATCTCTTACAGTACAACTTAATGCTTTATGAAAAATAAGTTTTTCAGGTACTTCATTATTGGGAGAGAATATATAAAATACCATCAGCTGACACGTGTGTCAAACCTGGAATGTATTTGTTCTAACATTTGCTTCTTTGCTTCATCAGTAATAATTTCTACACATCTTTCTTCAGAAGTTTTTGACAAGCAAACATATCCCAATTTATTGCCACAGTATTTTCTTTGTATGATTTCAGTCATTTTGTTGCAATACGGAGAAAATTTCCCTAAAGTATATAGCTTTTCTTCTTTCACGATTAAGAAACTAAATAAATGAAACAAGAAAAACTCAAAAGAGACTTCTAGAATTTTATTATTAAATATTCATTTTATTTTATTTTTTTTTATTTTATTATTTTATTTTATTTTATGTTATTTTATGTTATTTTATTTTATTTTTGAGAACAAGTTTCGCTCTTGTTGCCCAGGCTAGAGTGCAGTGGCGCGATCTCGGCTCACCGCAACCTCCACCTCCCGGGTTCAAGTGATTCTCCTGCCTCAGCCTTCCTGAGTAGCTGGGATTATAGGCACGTGCCACCATGCCTGGCTAATTTTGTATTGTTAGTAGAGACGGGGTTTCTCTGTGTTGGTCAGGCTGGTCTCAAACTCCTGACCTCAGATGATCCGCCCGCCTCGGCCTCCTATAGTGCTGGGATTACAGGCGTGAGCCACTGCACCCAGCCTATTAAATATTCTTGATGATTTTAAAGCACCAAGGCCAACATCACAAACTTTGGAGAAGTTTGTTTTCATGTTTTCAATGCTTAGATTTTAATTATGGTTTCAAGAAATTATTAATGAAAAACCTCAAAGAATTCTATCAGATTGAGATTTATCAGTAAATCTGTATTTCGTCGAATTCATGCATGTTCTATTTGTGTATCACATCATTTATCATTTTAAGTTAAAAATTTAATTCTTATTTTTTACATAATGTGATATGTGAATAGAATATACATGAATTAGAGCATAGCTGTCTTATTTTCTTGCTGTTCAGTTGTGCTTATATTATTAGTATCATTTTATTTTCGCAGCTTCTTTGCAGGAAATACTTTAAAGCACTTGTTTGGAGAAGATTCATTTGTTAAACCTAGAGCATTTCACTCAGTTTTGCAAATGCAAACCATTATTTTATATCCCCACATTTGGAGAGGAAACAGGTTAGCATTGATGGAGGTACCATTGCCACCTCCTTGTGTGATGAAAACTCCTTTCTTCCCTCCTCAAACTTGGGACATAGAGTCTGAATGATGGAGCCAGTGTCCACCTGCACAGTGAATATCAGTAATTCTTAACTTCAGTTTATATTTTCAAAATTTTTAAAAATTATATGAACAGTTATCCTCATTTTTTCTTATGATATCCCAATGACTTAATTCAGAGAATGTTGTTCTACAGGAGGGCTCAGACATTCTTTTTTTTTTTTTTTTTTTGAGACAGAGTCTCGCTCTGTCACCCAGGCTGGAGTGCAGTGGTGCAATCTTGGCCCACTGCAAGCTCCGCCTCCCGGGTTCACGCCATTCTCCTGCCTCAGCCTCCCGAGCAGCTGGGACTACAGGGGCCCGCCACCACGCCTGGCTAATTTTTTTGTATTTTTAGTAGAGACGGGGTTTCACTGTGTTAGCCAGGATGGTCTCTATCTCCTGACCTCGTGATCTGCCCGCCTCGGCCTCCCAAAGTGCTGGGATTACAGGCTGAGCCACCGCACCCGGCCCAGACATTCTTATTGTTGAATAGACAGCTAAAATGACAAATGAAACCTCCCTTATCTGCTCTGTGAACCCAGATAGAAGCCAGTCACTGTGGTTTAAACTAGCACTTCCCATACGCTGATGTTCACTCAGATGCCCTGGGCAGTGAAGAAGCAGATTGAATGCCTTGGGCATCTTGAAGAAGCAGGTTCAGATTCAGTAGGTCCGGGGTGAAGCCTGAGAATATGCATTTCTTTTTTTTTTTTTTTTTAGTTTTTCTTCTTTCTTTCAAATCAGCTTTCTCATGGTTAAATGCATTTATAATAAGCTTCTAGTTAATGAAGATGCAGTAGGTCTAGAACTACGTTCATGAATAGCAAAAGTTTAGACCAGGGGTCTATAAACTACAGATAGCATTTTTTTTTTTTTTGTAAATAAAGTTTTATTGGAACACAGTCAGCCCATTCATTTATGTGTCTAGTGCTATTCTTTGCTGCAATGGTAGAGTTGGGTGGTTGTGACAGAGACCTCATGACCTGCAAAATTTAAATATATTCATTATTTGATTCTCATATAAAATGTTTGCTGACCCTTTGTGTAGACAATAAATGTACATTTCATATATAGATCTACACATGGATAACCCGTCTAGACTCATTGACTACTACAGATTCAGAAGAGGTACAAGAACTAATTTCATTGAATCAAATTATGAGCTAAATCATGAGTACTCTCTGCTAAGTGGATTTACTATTTCAACAAAATTAGAAATGACAGAAAGCAGAATTTAAAAATAAATTACTTGATAAAAGAATCACCATTCGTATCGTAATCTCACAGTTAAAATAGAGCCCTACATCAAAAGTTGCATATCCATCATTTTAAGGTTACATAAAGTGAGGTGAAGGCCTGAAGCACTTGAGTCGAATTATATTAAATACATAAGAGTTGGATTTAATATCTTTCTCTAGCTAAATATGTCATAGTAGAATCTTAAAATGAAACTAAGCTGCAAAATGAAATTCAGCTCATAGCAGTGGTCTGCTGTGTATTGTCATAGGCCTTGAAACTTCATTTTCATTCTATATAAACTGATAGACCTACTTAAATGGTTGAATTAGTTGACACGACACATCTTCACAAAAATTTACTGCATTAGAAACATGCTAATGTACATAAAAACATGAGCTGTTTCTTTCATCAGTGTGTTTTCATGAAACTCTAAAATACATTAGTGATATATAGGGGCACTGTGTCCACGTGGTAAATAAACCCTAGAAGGCTGTACAACCAGAAATAACCAACCAAGTAAGTTAGTTAGTTTCATGTTAGTTGACAGTTAGTTTCATGTTATGTTTAATGTTATATTTTACCGCCCACCCCACTTCATTTTCAAGAGTAACAAAAAGAAAATCACATAAATTTTCAAGAGTAACAAAAAGAAAATCATTTTAGGCTGGGCGCAGTGGCTCATGCCTGTAATCCCAGCACCTTGGGAGGCCAAGATGGGCGGATCACTTGAGGTCAGGAGTTTGAGACCAGCCTGGCCGACATAGTGAAACCCCGTCTCTACCAAAAATACAAAAATTGGCTGGGCGTGGTGGCGCGCGGCTGTAATCCCAGCTACTTGGGAGGCTGAGGCAGGAAAATTGCTTGAATCCAAGGGGTGGAAGTTTCAGCAGCGAGCTGAGTTCTCACCACTGCGCTCTGGCCTGGGCGACAGAGTGAGACTCTGTCTTAATAAAAAAAATAAAAATAAAAATAAATTAATAAAAAATCATTTTATGATTTGCTGCATGCTGTGTCTGTGTTTTCTAGTTACTACTCACAGGTAGATATAGGTAACCAGTCTGCAGTGTTGTGTTTCAGATGTTTCTGCCCTCCCCTCCCCTCCCCACCTTCCCTTCCCTTCCCTTCCCTTTGTCAGAGTCTTGCTCTGTCACCCAGGCTGGAGTGCAGTGGCGCTATCTCAGCTCACTGCAACCTCAGCCTCCTGGGCTCAAGCCTCTGCCTCCTGAGTAGCTGGGATTACAGACACCACCTTGCCTGGCTAATTTTTGTATTTTTAGTAGAGATGGGGTATCACCATGTTGGCCAGGCTAGTCTCAAACTCCTGACCTCAAGTGATGTGCCCACCTTGGCCTCCCAAAGTGCTAGGATGACAGGCATGAGCCACCATGCCTGGCCTCAGATGTTTCCTTTCTAAAACATGATTAAACCAAAGTTTAGGAAATTTATTTTATTCAATTCTATTCTCTAACAAAAATGTTATTATCTCTCTTACCTCTATTTCTGCCTTTCTTTATCTTTATCTATATGTAAAGGTAAGTTTTAAAGAAAAAATACCTACCTGGAGTTTTTTTGGTTTTTTTTTGTTGTTGTTGTTGTTTTTTGTTTTCTTTGAGTCAGAGTCTCACTTTGTCGCCCAGGCTGGAGTGCTGTGGCATGATCTTGGCTCACTGCAACCTCCACCTCCCGGATTCAAGCGATTATCATGCCTCAGCCTCCTGAGTAGCTAGGATTACAAGCACCCGCCACCACACCCAGCTAATTTTTGTATTTTTTAGTAGAGATGGGGTTTTACCATGTTGGCCAGGCTGGTCTCGAACTCCTGACCTCAAGTGATCCACCCACCTCGGCCTCCCAAAGTGCTGGGATTACAAGCGTGAGCCACCGCGCCCAGCCGTGGAGTTGTATCTTAATTCAACCTTCTTCATCCATCTTCACATCATTTTGCTTTGATATGGAAATGAGAGGAAACAGTTAAAACATATTTGACTCCAGTGACTGTACTCTCTCCCACAGTAAGTGAAACTTGAGAAGCCTGAGTTTGATCTTTATGCAGTTTAACTCCCAAACTCAGAGCCCCCAAAACTGGGATAATTGATGAGAAGCTGACTAGAATGGTCAGAGGATGAGCTCATTGTGGGAGTGCTGCTTTCCTGCAGGAAGGCCCGGAGGGAAGCTGCCGCCTGGGCTGGGGAGGCGGCTCACTGCCTGCCGCAGCCTCCCCTCCCTGGAGGGCCGCACCACCTGCCTGATTCTTGCACCGCACGCCCCCGCCCCGCCCCCATGCCGTTGCTGTGATCAAAGTGTTTACTGCTTTGACATCAGAAACGATGCCCTTTCACCTGTGGGAAAATGACAACATAATAAAATAGAATAAAAAGTACAAACAAAAAGGAAGTCAGGAATAACAGGTGATGCTGTTATTTACATAATTCAAGGTGAGCTGTTGAGCTGAAGTTCCAAAGCACAGGAATGGACATGTTTTGTTTGGATTTTGTATTGTGTTTAATTTTATATTTGCTGTTTCTATTCTAGAATTGAGGTGATTACCAAGGCTCTATATAGCTATTCTGAATAATCTGCTAGCTATCCGGGTGGTTCATCATTTGCCCACCAACAGTTTTAAATTTTAAAACTCAGGTGGGGGGATGGGCAGTGGTGGCAGTTTCAGTTTCCCACTCTGCCATGGTGCCTGTCCTAGCTGGCCACTGCATTCCCTATCAGCATCAGAAAAGAGAAAGGCCTAGAAGATGCTCCAGAACCTCTGGACACTAGTGGGTTTGCCATCGGGAGCAAAGGAGCCACGACTTCTGTGTTGTCCGTTTTCAGTTGCCCTTTCTGAGTCCAATGTTTTTGTAAAGCGGGACAATCATGCTTAGTCCTTTCCACCCACCCCAGTGTCAGGAGGCTCTAATGAGTTGCTGTAGGTGTATAGTCTGTGAAATGTAACCTTATTGTTGAATTCCAGTTTTCTTAGAGACGATTAAGTATCATTTCCATTGCTCTGAGTTGCTGACCATCAGACCCATGGGGATTGTACGTATTTGCAACGCTCTTCCCATTTGTCCTGGCCCCTTACCGAGTGCAGGAGGGAATGCATATTTGCAGTGGGATTCATGGAATCTGGTCGTGTGTGAGGAGGACTGTGGTGGTCGCAGCCCTAAACCACTCAGCCCCACTCAGGAAACACACTGCACTCACCGGACAGGTCCATATTCTTGCATTAGCCTCTCATTTTTCCGACGCTTGTAGTTTACACATAATTCCCACTCTGTGTACCACCTCTCCCGCAAAGAAAAAGGGTGGCAGGGCGGAACTTCCTACTCCCCTGGCAAACCCGGATTGGATTCCAACTTCCACATCTGTTTTCAGCAGTTCCCTGGCTGCTGATGCGTCTCCACACAGGGGGCATTAGGATGACATGTGTCCCTCCAACATCTGTTTTCCAGGGAAACTTGTTTCAAGGTCTTCGAATTCTGTGGGAACCCTGAGTATGGGGTAGAGGGCTGAAGATGTGCAGAGGCATTGGTGAGGCCCTCCTTTCTACCCTTTGTAGGTTCTACAAGTGCAGTTTAAAGGTTTCATTTTTACATGAAAATATGTCTTTAACTATGAAAGCTTAGAAACTGAAAAAAGCAAACCCCACATAACTAGTTTTCTGGAGGTACTGTTTGAGTTAACTAATCAGGTGTTGGGGAAACAATCTCCCACGTCCTTATAACCCTGAACGTGCTGGCGGAATCTAAAGGGGTTCTTGGGTGCTTTTTCAGAACAAGGGCCGCTGCTCTTTCCGGCTGTCTTGGAAGCACAGATTAAGTTTCTTGCCTTTTCCCGGGTCACCACCGACTCTTCAATGGAAATGAAAAGCAGGGGAAGGGGAGGTAGTGCCCAGGAAGTGCGTTCTTCTCATGATGCACTGGGCTTGAGGAATATAAGTGGGCCTCCTTGTAGGAAAAGCTGGCTTCCCATGGCCGGTGGAGACCAAGCCAGGAGCAGCCAAACCTCCCACCCCACCTCGTGGGCCGGTGCTCCTCCCCAGGCAGGGTGGCTGTGACCGCACTGTCTTTCCGGGGACATGTATAAGGTAATGCCCTCATATCCCACTTGCGGAGAAGAATACCCTAATACTGTGGGGGAAAAATAACGATGCAGAGATGTAGATAGCTGAGGTTATATAAATTACCCATATACTTACATTTCCTAAAATGAAGATAAATATGATCATATCTCTCAGTGCCATAGAGCTTTACATTTACGCTCTAAATATGCATGTTCAAAATATAATTATGTGAGGATGACCAGAAATAGAAATTTTTATTATATATCTTAGCACATGTTATCGAACATGGAACACATGCACCATACACATATGCCATGTGGCATAAGGAATTTTTGTTTTGTGAATGATTTTTGCTCTGAAAATATAAAATATTGAAATTCATTGTCTATTATCATTTTAATAAGATATTTTAGAAATAGCAGTATCTACATATACCATTGCCATGAATGTGTTTTTCTAAAATTAAACATGAAAAGAGCATAAATATGATACATCTGAATCCCCAAGTTACTGTTTATATTTCACATAGTATCAGACTCCAAGCTTCTTTGCTGAGGAACCATATATTTTGACAGAATTTCCTTTATTCTGTGCATTTTCATCTACTTCTAATGTGCATATGCCTAAAGTGTAGAAAATAGAAGAAAATGGCATGCTGTTGCTAAGTGGATGTCCTACAGATCTGAAACAAAAAAGAAAAGCTTTAAAATACACTGTAATTATGTAAAATGGTGTGATTTTACTTTGATTATCTAAAATAAAAATTAGAAGGTTGAAAATGAAAAAGACTCTATAACGATAAGTTTCAGTGTGTTTTCAGAGTATCAAGTTTCTAACATTAAAAAAGTCCATAATGCTCTTTTATAAACCCTTTGACACTACTCCCTTCAATTTCATAGAAATATCATAATGGGCTGGGCATGGTGGCTCACACATGTAATCCCAGCACTTTGGGAGTCTGAGGTGGGCAGATCATGAGGTCAGGAGATCGAGACCATCCTGGTTAACACGGTGAAACCTCGTCTCTACTCAAAATACAAAAAGTTAGCTGGTGTGGTGGCTCACGCCTATAGTCCCAGCTACTCGGGAGACTGAGGCAGGAGAATTGCTTGAACCTGGAAGGCGGAGGTTGCAGTGAGCCAAGATTGCACCACTGTACTCCACCCAGCCTGGGCAACAGAGCAAGACTCCATCTCAAAAAAAAAAAAAAAAAAAAGGCAGAAATGTCATAATGACCATACAGAATGTCCCTGTCCTGGCCACTTCCCATACACTTGGTAATCATTTGCTGATTTACCTAGAGGGTAAAAGTGTGAGCTCAATATTCTTAGTCCTTCAACCCATATTTGACTCTGGTGCAATGAGAACATTGCATGTGATGTTCTCATAGCTTCCTAGCTCAGTTAATTAGCAGTGCTTCCTAACTTAACGGAGAATCGCTTGGGGAGCTGTGAAAATATAGAATCTGGAGAGAAATGCTAATGATATAAGGTTTGGAGCAGAGGGTAGGAATCGGCACTTTAAATTCCTGCCTAGGCTGAAAAAGATAAGACATGAAATGGTGGTAAGGATGAGGAGCCACTGGAACTCTCAAAGACTGACTGTAGAAGTGTAAATTGATACAACAAATTTGTGCTTGCATCTACCAAAGCCGAACATCTGTCTGCCTAGGACCTTTCAATTCCATTCACAACTATATACCTATTAGAAATGCATCCATATCTTCACCAAAGAGGTGCAAGAATGTTTGTAGGAGCACCAAAGAATGGAAATCTCACAAATATGTTCATCAGTAGTAAGATGGACAAATATAGTATAGTCATGCTTTGGGATTCTCTACAAGGCTGGCTTTGGGGTCTGCCACCTTTGAGTTGCAGAGGGCCCTGCACTAAAAGGACCCTGGGCTTGGTTTAATGTGCTGCTGTCACTATCTTGGAATTCTTGATTTTTCAACAATGGCCTTGCATTTTCATTTCGTAATGGCCCCTGCAAATTAGTAGCTGATCCTACTATAAAGTAAATCTCACTCAGTGTTGCATGAGAAAATTCAAACACAAAATAATTCGTACTGTGCGATTTCAAAAGGAAGAAAAAATAAATCCTTAGTGTTGAAAATCAGGACAGTGGTCGGCTCTGGGATGAAAGGGGATGGTGATTGGGAGGGGCCACTAAGAAAGGTTTCTGGGGCGCTTAAAGCATTTTATTTCTTGATTCAGTTCCTGGTTATATGAGTGAGTTTCCATTTTGAAATTTTATTAACAGGAAACATGGTTTACAAATGTTTCTGTATATACATTATACTTCAATAGAAGATTACATTTTAAAAATTTATTTCTTTCTACTTTTGACATCGAGCCGACTGGAGCAACTCATCGGTTGTAATCAGCAAATACGTTTCATTTTGATTTGGAGCATTTACTCTTTCCCCATTCCGAGCCACTAGCTTCATAGCTCCCTCCAGCCGACTGTGTAGAGAATCCATGGCTCTTTGACACAAGAAACTGGCCAGCAGAGAGGAAGAGGCTGACCCACCCTTCAAGAGAACACCTCCAAGTGTCGGCCATGGGATGGCTTAGCTGTTATCACATCCCTTTTGCATAAAATGAGCCCACCCACTCCCTCATTGAGCGCCATACTGCATATATGGGAGTGTGTCACTGTCTACACGGGGGAATTTAGGGGACCTTACAAGGCCTGTCCACCCCACATGCCATCCTAGCAACTGCCAGGGGGCTTCACATTCTCTCTTCGGTCACTCTTAACTAAAGCTCTTTTTAAAATGCAAATATGGGCCGGGCGTGGTGGCTCCCGCCTGTAATCCCAGCACTTTGGGAGGCTGAGGCGGGCAGATCATGAGGTCAGTAGATCAAGACCATCCTGGCTAACACGGTGTAACCCTGTCTCTACTAAAAATACAAAAGAAAAAAAAAATTAGCCAGGCTTGGTGGCGGGCACCTGTAGTCTCAGTTACTCAAGAGGCCGAGGCAGGAGAACAGCGTGAACCCAGGAGGCTGAGCTTGCAGTGAGCTGAGATCGCGCCACTGCACTCCAGCCTGGGTGACACAACGAGGCTCTGTCTCAAAAAAAAAAAAAAAATGCAAATATGTTTCCATATTTGCATTATCAGCCTTTAGTCTTGCTTAAAATAGTCATGATGTAGGCCATGAAATGGCAAAATTTGGAGAGGTGTTTCCCTGGAGGGGCCATGGAGGGCAGTGGTGAGAGCTCTGGGATGGTCAGGAACATGAGCCCTTCACAGGAGCCTGAGGCTGTCCTCACCTAGCAGGGTCCAGACAGGAGGAATGGGGCCGCCGTGGCTGGAGTGGGGGACACCAGTGGGATTTGGGCTGCTTCACAGTTTCCTCCTCTATGACTACCACTGTGCACACCTGCATCAGAAATGAAGGTTCAGGCAACTACGTGGCTTGAAAAAGAGTCTCTGTGCAAGAGGGAAGGTCGGGACTACATATAGGATTCAGGCATTGAATCATTTGCGTCCATTGTGATGGTCAATATATCCTTTATCAAAAGGACCTGATGCTCAGAATAGGTCTCTAGATTGCAAATGAGCAGTTCTAGTCAAGAAGTATGAATACTTCTGAAAAATGGCAAATCAAATATTTCAATAAGAATTAAATTTTAATAGACTTGACATTTTGAATTGAATATGAAAGATTTCAATGGTTTCCAGTGGGTATTTTTTAAGAAGGAGGGAGGGATCTTTATCAGTGTTTGAGGAGATCAATTAGTCTATAAAACTTAAAATATTCTACAGATACTGGCTTCTAAACATCCAACTGTGATAGGAGAATAGAAAAAATAATAGTAGAAAATAAAAGAATATTTTCAAAATCACATACATGTTGAAAATAATAGGATCTTAATGTAGGGATATATTAATCTTGGATGACACTACACACTTTTTCATAAGAAAAGTGAAAATAAAGCCGGGCATGGTGGCTCACGCCTGTAATCCTAACACTTTGAAATGCGAAGGAGAAAGGATCACTTGAGCTCAGGAGTTTGAGACCAGCCTGGGCAACATAGTGAGGCTTTGTCTCTACAAAACATTTAAAAAATTAGCTGGGTGTGACGGCATGCGCCTGTAGTCACAACTACTTGGGTGGCTGGGGTGAAGGGATTGCTTAAGCCCAGAAGGTCGAGGCTTCAGTGAGCTGTCATTGTGCCACTGTACTTCCGTCTGGACAACATAGCAAGACTCTGTGTCAAAAACAGAAAAGTAACGATGAGTAAAAAATTATTGGCATCCAAAAAACAAAAAATGGAAAGACAATAATCTCAAAATCAAGGATGATGGGAGATATTCAGTAATATAGTTTAAGTACCCAGAAGAAGCAGTGTAATAATCAATATGGCTTAAAAGAAAGCAAAAATGTTAAAACATTTATATTTGTTTGGTAACTAATGAGACAGGAAAAGCAATGACATAAGATATGTGTCTTTCAGCACAAAAATATTAAACCATTTATATTTGGTAGCTAATGAACAGGAAAAGCAATGGCTGAAGATATGTAGGTTTCAGCACATCCTCTGATACTCCTGCCTTCTGAGAGTCTTTCACTACCTGGGAATGTAAGTCTCAGGTCCTACAGTGTTGAGTGAAGGTCAAAGTCATGGGTTACATAACGGCACCCATGGAACATCTGGTAACATCCTGCATGGCCCCAGTACTTATGAGTGGGATGCCAGTGAGGGGAGGATCATAGGACATGAGTTCGAGGTCAAGATCCTGTGTCTCACTTTACTAATTATGTCACCACGGGCACATTTCCTCAGAGCAGTTAGGTGAATGCTGACAGTCATTTCCATGCCATTGTGGCCTTGGGGTCCCACGTGAAATACTAAAAGTTCCTCCTGTGTCAAAACGGACAGAGCCTCTTCTAAATGTTAGTCTCTCATCAGATCCCCATTCAACAAGAGGGAGATTTGTGAGGACTGCCATGATACCTCTTATTGCCATAGCCGCAGTGTTGAGCAGAGCTCCTAGCCCATTTTCCATAGTTTCAGCAGTTGACAGGTGCTGATGAGAATATATTCATAAACAGGCCAGGCACAGTGGCTCACGCCTGTAATCCCAGCACTTTGGGAGGCCGAGGCAGGCAGATAACGTGGGGTCAGGAGTTGTGACCAGCCTGCCCAACATGATGAAACCCCGTCTCTACAAAAAATACAAAAATTAGCCAGGTGTGATGGCTCGCACATGTAATCCCAGCTACTGGGAGGCTGAGGCATGAGAATAACTTGAACCCAGGAGGAGGAGGTTGCAGTCAGCAGAGATCAAGCCACTCCACTCTAGCCTGGGAAACAGAGTGAGACTCTGTCTCAGAAAAAAATGTATACATATATACACACACACATATATTTTATATTATATATGTATTGTATATTTTTATATATATTATATATAATATATACTTTATATATAATATATATACTTTATATATAATATATCATATATACTTTATATATAATGTATATACTTTATATATAATATATAATTTATTATATTATATACTTTATATATAATATATAATATATTATATATAAAGTATATAATATAATAAATTATATATTATATATAAAGTACCTATAATATATTATATTATATTTTATATTTTATATTTTATAATATATATTATATATTATATATTATATATTTTATATTTTACATTTTATATATATTTTATATATTTTATATATTATACATTTTATATATTATACATTTTATATATCTTATACATTTTATTTATTATACATTTTATATATTATATATTTTATATATATTATATATTTTATATATAGTACATTTTATATATTGTACATTTTATATATTATATATTTTATATATATTGTACATTTTATATATTATATATTTTATTATACATTTTATATGTAATATATATTTATATATTACACATATTATATGTAATATATATTTTACATACAATATATATTTTACATAATATATATTTTATATATAATATATATTTTACATAATATATATTTTACATATAATATATATTTTACATATAATATATTTTACATATAATATATATTTTACATATAATATATTTTACATATAATATATATTTTATATATAATATTTTACATATAATATATATTTTATATATAATATTTTACATATAATATATATTTTATATATAATATTTTACATATAATATATATTTTATATATAATATTTTACATGTAATATATATTTTATATATAATATTTTACATGTAATATATAATATATAATATATATTATATATTTTACATATAATATATATTATATATTATATATTATATATAATATATATTATATTTTACATATAATATATATTATATATTATATATAATATATATTATATATTATATATAATATATATTATATTTTACATATAATATATATTATATATTATATTTTACATATAATATATATTATATATTATATTTTACATATAATATATATTATATATTATATTTTACATATAATATATATTTTATATATATTTTACATATAATATATATTTTATATATTATATTTTACATATATATTTTATATATTATATTTTACATATAATATATATTTCTTTTATATATATTATATATTTTATATATTTATATATTTTATATATAGTATATAATTTTTATTTATATATAAACAAAAAACAGGTCTTTTAAAAGTCTTAAATATATTGTTTAGATATATAAAATAATCGCAAGCCTCTAGGAAATTTTGAAAGCTTAGAGGAAAGTGACTATGGCCAAGTTAATAGTAGGGGAAATAGGGCAAAGATTTCAAGGGAAACAGGAATTTTTTTTGACGAGAGTCAAATGCTTATCACAGTGGCCTGCCTTCTACAATCAAACGCCTCAACTGGCAGACTTGTTTTGTTGTTGTTGTTGTTTTAATTTTGTAGTTTGGGATATAAAATAGTTCTTTTCTTTCTAGGAAGGGGATTTCCATTTTTTTCTGGCTGTCAGTGTGACTCGTGTCTGATGCGCGGTGGATGCTACCGGCGATTTTCCTTTCCATTCCTCGGAATTTCTCGAGTCCGATACGCATTGTATTTAGTTCCCGTCAGGAAAAGCTGGGTGTCGGGGTGGTTTTTCGTGCCTCCTCTTCTGTCTCGTGACTGTGTATATTTCATGCTTGCATAGTTTCCAAACACGCCACAGTATAACTTATGCCCCAGGATATCTAACTTCAGAGTAAGCATGTTCCAAACATGGAGCGAGAATGAGTGTCTGGGGTAGGAGAGACCGTTTCTACAGGGAAGGACCGGGAGAGGCAGGCCCGGGAAAGGCTCCAGAGATGGAGTCCCTGAGACTGACGCGTGCTTCGAAGGAAGAGACACACACTGACTGCAACTGGGGTGTGAGTGGAGGTTTGGGGGACTCAGCACAGATTCATTGAGAACGGGCCTTTATTTCATTCTGCATTTTCAGCCGATTTATTTCATCGATCCCCTGTTCCAAGCTCCCAGCTCCCTCCCTTATTATCAGCCAGTTTTCTGCTTGACAACCAGCCACACACTAGCTCGCATCTAGGTTTTTTGGAAAAAAAAAAAAAGTCATTACTGTATGTCTTACAGCCATCAGTTCACAATTGGACCCAAAATTGGAATAACTTCTGGTTAACCCTCAGGAGAATAACTCTATTTGTGACACTGGGAGAGATGAAAAATGAAGACAGGTCTCCTTCTCCTCTGGGATTTTGAAATATAATATAAGAGCCTGGGCTCTCCAGGAAGCAGAGCCTGAGGCAGAGGGCTCAGGTGCTCTTACTCCGTTACAGTCCTAGTCCCAGGACAGAGGCGGGAGGGCCGGGGAGTGAAGCAGGGAAACTAGGACACTTTATGGAGCTGGCTGCTGCTAAGCCCAGCAGATGGCTTTAATATGAGGGACCATGGATTAAGCATTGTGGGTATCAGTAAATGCCCTCTGTGTGACCAGGAAAGCCCAGAACAGGAGGCAAAGCGCCAGGGTTGATCAGGGCCCACATGGAGTTGAGGACAGGAGCGCCTGATGCTGGCTATGAGGTATGTCTGATATGAGGGCATTAATTAAGACAAATTTATGAACAGATTGGATACTTGATGCAATGGAGAAGATTTGAGAAAGATAAAGCAATACAAGTGTCCTACATAATCCCTAGAGGTATTAAATGCTGCCCTGTTTAAATATATAAATGCATTCTCAGGGTGATTTTAGTCAAGTTACTCAATGGCTTATGGCTCATCTTCTCACCTTTTCGAATCTGTGCAGGAGACATCTCCTGACCTTATTCTGAAAAATAGGACCCCCACTCAGCTGCTGCGTCCTCCCACTGACGTTCTCTGTCCCCAATCCTGCTGTGTAGTTCCTCATGCACTTACCCTTCCATAGCATCTTATCGCACTTGTTTGTCTATTTATTCTCTCTCCCACTAGAATGTAAGCTAAATAGGGCTGAAATGCGTCTGCTGTGAGCCCTGCAAGAACACCTGGCAAAAGTCGCTGCTCAGTGAAGAGTCACTGAAATATTTGAATATGTAATGATTCAGATACCTATTTTATAGGTTTCTGTGAAAATTAAATGAGAGGATTATTAAAGTGCCCCACTGAGGTTTGGCACACAGAAGACGGTCAGTGAATGCTGGAGCCGTTCACGTCCTCGTGCCTGTGGTGTGTCCCATATGCAAATATACACGGGAGTTTTATAGCACAGATATGTTAAGTATTCTGAACACAGACTACACCAGCTGAGAAATACATGCTTAAAACCCATGTTTGATTTCCTATCCATATCCATGGAAGGGAAAAATAGCCACACATCTTAAACTTCATATGATAGCCACCAAATACCTTCACATGTACAACTTATGTTTTAAAAAGTGTGTACAGGGAGCTTTGTGCTGTCCAACTGCAAGGAAGAGGGCTCTGGCTGGTCCAGTTCCCTCTGCTGCAAAGCGATCCCTGAGAATATCCTATCATTCTTTGTAGAGTCTAGGATTGTAAAATATAACACTTTTTATTATACTTTTTAAAGTAGAGTGCAACATCCTCATTTGGAATAATGTCTAAAAACTGCACCCTGAGTTCTAAGTGTGTGCATGGCTTTAGGGTGGCTGAGGCAATAGTAACACAAGTTTCTCTCTGAAGGGCCTTTCCAGGTAGACCCCAAATTAATACAAAGTAGGGCTCTTTCTTCATGTTCCTTAAATGACTGCACCAAAAGTACCATATGGTTTTTCTCTATCACAGACTTTTGGGGGCCATGTCTCTGGAAGAGATACCATCATACGTCTAATGATGTAAAATAAGAAACATTCTGTGATGGTGTATTTTCCAAAAAAGAAATGATTAAAACAGCTCCCAGGAAAACTCATAGCTTACTGAAAACTCTAGAAATAATCTCTATACGTTTAAATTGCTACAAAGTATCTATCTTATTTTCCCTCTTATTCTTATTTTCTCTCTCTTATTTTCTCTCTCTCTCTCCTCATCCTCCTCCTCCTCTCTCCTCTCCCCTTCTCTGTCTTCTGCATCTATCTTCTGACTCTGAAGAGTAGATGATTACCCTATCTCTAATTTCATCCCCCAAGAAAATCTCTCTTCAGTATTTTTCCCCATGTCTCATTTAGGCAAAAGAACTATTCCATGATTCCCAGCCTAACTCCCCAGAGTTCTCTAGTTACCTCTAAAAACATTCTTCATAACAAGGAGACCTACCTATCACCAATGTCCATTGCAAGAATTAAAGAAGAGGAGGTCCATGAAAACAGTTGGCACTGTCGCTGGCACATAATATATGGTCAGTAATTAATCCTTATCAGTTAATAATTAATCATTTCTCTCGTATTGCCTTTCCTTCACAGGCCAGCAGGATTTTTAAATAGCTCTACTGATATATTTACTCAGTGATTAATATAAAATATTGATAGCCTTCTGATCATGAAACATTAAAAATTTTTTTTAGTAGAGAAGTAAATAAGTCGTGTTAAATGTACTCTGACTCATGCCAACAAAAGGAAACAGTGGCATACATAATTCTAAAAAGAAGAACATGAGATAATTATGTAAGGTGTGTTTGATTTGAGAATGTGGGAGACAGCAAGATTCAGCTAGCTTTGTTCTGTGTGGCCTGAATTAGACCAAGTCTGAGTGCATGAAAAGTTAAAGGACATTGAAACACAGCCATCCCCTTTTCTTCATGACCCACAGCACTTGACATCCGTATCACTAATTTGGTAATAGAGTATGTGCTGAGCTGTGGGGGGGCTTCTGATTTTGTCATTTTCTTTGTACCACTTTTCTTCCCAATTGTAGGCACTCTGAGAACAGCCCAATATCTTAATATTAGGAAACGTACTTCTCTGTCTATGACCATACCACCCTGAACGTGCCTGATCTCCTCTGATCTTGGAAGCTAAGCAAGGTCGGCCCTGGTTAGTACTTGAATGGGAGAAAATGTACTTTTCTATCCTCTACCCTCAATACATAGATGATTGGTATTTTATTTTGTTTTGTTGGTACATAATAAATGCTCAATATATGTTTGTTTTTTAAGTAAAAAAGGAAGAAACAAAATAATAAAATGGGCTGAAATCTTCTGAAATCAACCCATCAGCTGAATTAAACCTGTGTAGATTATCTTCCCACATGTAGCTAGTTTGTCCTGGTACATAAACTATCTGAGGACTACCTTCACTTCTCCCTTTCATAGACAATTTTGGGTCTCCTGTATGTGGCAGAACTGTGGTCTGCCCTGGGAAGAAGACAATGAATAAGTTGGCAGGAAAACAAAAGGGAGAAGACAGCTGAAGAGCTCTTTCAAAGGAGGGATCCACAAGGCTTGGTGATTAAGACGACGCAGAGGGTGGGTCAAGGACAGCATGTTTGTGTTGTGAGTGGAAGAAATGTGATTCTCTTGACAGAAACAGCAGAGTCTGAGTTGAAGCGGGGTGATGTGGCTTCTAGGTGATGCATTCGTTTTAAGTATGCTCAAGTTAAATAGAAACCATTATACTAAAAAATATAATCATTGTGAGGTTAATTTCTTCTTGGCCTCGTATTTATCAGCTCAAAACATAGCACAGGGCTCTTAAAAGCATGTGTATGGGTTGACCATCGCCTTTCTTTTATTTTATTTTATTTTATTTTTATTTTTTATTTGAGATGGAGTCTTGCTCTGTCGCTCAGGCTGGAGTGCAGTGGTGTGATCTTGGCTCACTGCAGCCACTGCCTCCTGAGTTCCAGCAATTCTCCTGCCTCAGACTCATGAGTAGCTGGGATTACAGGTGCACGCCACCACGCTCAACTGATTTTTGTACTTTTAGCAGACATGGGGTTTCGTCATGTTGGCCAGGCTGGTCTTTAACTCCTGACCTCAGGTGATCCACCCGCCTCGGCCTCCCAAAGTGCTGGGATAACAGGCATAAGCCATCGCGCCCAGCTATCCCCTTTAATTTTTAATAACTTCTATTTCTTAGCATGTTCTGCTTTAGAAAAATGGGAAAATGTGGTTTAGTTCCAGTGAGGTTCACATTATTATTTATAGACTATTTATTATGCCATTTATAGGGCCTGTGCTGGACCATAACAATTTTTAAAGTAATTGTAATTATTTTACACTATAAAATACAACACACCAGCCATTGAAGTCTAAATCAGTAGAACTCTAGTACCTGCTGCAAGGGCCTCATCCTGACAAGTGCTTTTGATGACAGCAAGAGGTAGGCCATGTGCATCCAAATATTTTTTTCCCTCCTCATAATGGGACTTATCTGATGTATAATTTATATTCTACTTTGATTTCATCTTTCTTAGCCTTTTCAAAATGTCTGCTTAGTGATGATATGCTACAAATCATTAAGAGGCCTAAAGATTGTGCTTCTCCACAAACAGCCTGTGCTTTAAGGACAAATTAAGAGCAAAGTATTAATTTCCTTTTGTTTGTTTTGTTTTGTTTTAGAGACAGAGTCTCACTCTCTCACCTAGGTTGGAGTGCAGTGGTGTGATCTCAGCTCACTGCAACCTCTGCCTCCTGGGTTTAAGTGATTCTCCTGCCTCAGCCTCCTGGGTAACTGGGATTACAAGCATGCACCACCATGCCCAGCTAATTTTTTTGTATTTTTAGTAGAGACGGGGTTTTGCCACGTTAGCCAGGCTGGTCTTGAACTCCTAGCTTCGAGTGATCCACCAGCCTCGGCCTCCCAAAGTGCTGGGATTACAGGTGTGAGCCACTGCGCCGGGCCCAAAGTATTCATTTTCAATTGTAACAATCACCTCTTATTTTAGGATCTTGCGTCTTATAATTGTGTATACTATACGTAAAACAATAGTAAATTGGTAGCTAGTTATACACGGGAGAAGATAGCAGTTGTAAACAAGGATGGAATAATCTCAATAGTGAAAATGATCTTAGAAACATTATAATCCATTTCCATTATCTTAGAAGTAAAAGATTGGGATTAAAGAAATTAAAAGATTTGGCCAGGCGCAATGGCTCACCCCTGTAATCCCAGCACTTTGGGAGGCCGAGGGTGGTGGATCACCTGAGGTCAGGAGTTCAAGACCAGAATGGCCAACATGGAGAAACCTCGTCTCTACTAAAAATACAAAAATTAGCCAGGCATGGTGGTGCATGCCTGTAATCCCAGCTACTCGGGAGGCTGAGGCAGGAGAATCGCTTGAACCTGGGAGGTGGAGGTTTCACTGAGCCAAGATTGTGCCGCTGCACTCCAGCCTGGGTGACAGAGTGAGACTCTGTCTCAAAAATAAATAAATAAATAAATAAATAAATAAATAAATGAAAGATTTTTCCCATGATTGCTAATAGTTGACAGATAAAGTTAGAATAAAACCCAGTTCTCTTGCTTTTGTGTCACTCATTATGATGCCAAATAGCTCTTTACTATGGCAAGTATTTATCTGCTTATGTAATTAATCTAAACAGACATCATCATTACCACCTTTTTTCTATTTTCATCATCATCTTTTCATGTTTTTATATATCTGCTTTTCCATAATTTAGAATAAAACAAGGTGAGAGGTCAGCACACTGAGGCCCTCTGACTAAATGTGGCCAGCAGTCTGCTGTTGTACAGGGCATGAGCTAAGAATGTATTTTACATTTTTACAAGGTTGCAATTCTTTGTTTAAAGAATAATATTTTGTGATACATGAAAATTATATGAAATTCAATTTCCAGTGCCTATAAATAAAATGTTGTCACAACAGCATGAAGTTGAGTAGTTGCAGAAGGGAATATATGGACCTCACATGCTAAATTATTTACTATCTGGCCCTTTCTACATGTTTTACAGAAAAAATGATAATACCACATTAAGGTAAAAAACAGTTAATTCTAAGGGTTTCCAATCTCAGTTGGAAAGACAAAATCAACTCGCAATATAGAACAGATCCAAATAAAATAAAGACTGATGAAAAAAACATGTATTCCTTGTCCAGATACTAAAATAATGCATGGTTCAGACCTGGATCAAAATCGAGGCTCATCATGTGGGCCCCTCACTAATTATGCTTGAGTCACCAGCTAATAGAGAACTCAGGCCAGCAGTGATCCCAGTCCAGGTGGGACTCTATTTAAATTAAGCTTTCCTCATCACCCCATCCATCCTCTTCAGCCAGAGCCAACTCTAGAGAGAAAACAAACTGAGGCCTTTCCCAGAGCCTGAGCTACTTTAAAAGGTTTGTTTCCACCAGCTCCTCCCTGTCCTTACCCCACATCCTCCCACACCTACTCACAGCAATCACTATAAAAATTGTCCAGGCACACCTGGTTTTATTGCCGTCTATCGTATCGCACTTGGCAGATATTGTGATTTTTACAGATTGAAGGTTTGTGGCAACCCTGCCCTGAGCCACTCCATCAGTGCCATTTCTCCAGCAGCCTGTGCTCATTTGTGTGTCTCTGTTACATTTTGGTAATTTTCTTTTCTTTTCTTTTCTTTTTTTAAACAGAGTATTACTCTGTCGCCCAGGCTAGAGTGCAGTGGTGCGATCTCAGCTCACTGCAAGCTCCGCCTCCCGGGTTCATGTCATTCTCCTGCCTCAGCCTCCCAAGTAGCTGGGACTACAGGCATGCGCCACCACGCCCGGCTAATTTTTTGTATTTTTAGTAGAGACAGGGTTTCACTGTGTTGGCCAGGATGGTCTCAATCTCCTGACCTCGTGATCCACCCGCCTTGGCCTCCCAAAGTGCTGGGATTACAGGTGTGAGTCACTGCGCCTGGCCAACATTTTGGTAATTTTCACAATATTTAACTTTTTCATTATTATTATATCTGTTATGGTGACCTGTGATCAGTGATCTTTGAGGTTACTGTTGCAATTGTTTGCAGTACCAAAAACCATGCCCAAATAAGATTGTGAACGTACTTGATAAATGTGTGTGTTCCAACTGCTCCAGTGACCGCCCATCACCACATCTCTCTCCCCACCCTTGGGCCTCCCTAATCCCAGAGATACAACAATATTGAAATAAGACCAATTATTAATAATAACCTTACAATGGGCTCAAAGTGTTTAAGTGAAAGGAAAATTGCATCTTACTTCAAATCAGAAGTTAGAGATGATTAAGCTTAGTGAGGAAGACGTTGAAAGCTGAGATAGGCCAAAAACTAGGCCTCTTGCTCCAATAAGTTATCCAAGTTGTGAATGCAAAGTGAAAGCTCTTGAAGGAAATTAAAAGTGCTACTCCAGTGAACACGTGAATGTTAAGAAAGTGAAACAGCCTTATCGCTGATATGGAAAAACTCTGGTCTGGATAGATCAAACCAGCCACAACACTCCCTTAAGCCAAAACCTAATCCAGAGCAAGGCCCTAACTCTCTTCAATTCTGTGAAGGCTGAGAGAGGTGAGAAAGTTGCATGAGAAAAGTTTGAAGTTAGCAGAGGTTGGTTCATGAGATTTAAGGAAAGAAGCCGTCTACATCGTATGAAAGTTCAAGGTGAAGCAGCAAGTTATCCAGAAGATCTAGCTTAAATGTTTGATGTATCTGGCTACATTAAACAATAGATTGTCAGTGCAGATGAAACAGCCTTCTGTTGTAAAAAGATGCCATCTAGGACTTTCATAGTTGGATAAAAAAAAATCGATTCCTGGCTTCAAAGCTTCCAAGGATAGGCTGACTCCCTTGTTAGGGGCTAATGCAGCTGGTGACTTTAAGTGGGAGCAAATGCTCATTTACCATTAAAATCCTAAGACCCTTAAGAATTAGGCCACGTTGACTCTGCCTGTGCTCTATAAAGGGAACAACAAAGTCGGGATTACAGTACATCTGTTTACACCATGGTTTACTCAATGTTTTAAGCCCATTGTTGAAAACTACTGCTCAGAAAGAAGGGTTCCTTTCAAAATATAACTACTCACTGAGAATGTACCTGGTCACCCAAGCGCTCTGATGGAGATGTACAAGGACATGAATGTTGTTTTCATCCCTGCTGACACAACACCCATTCTGCAGCCCATGGATCAAGAAGTTTTTTTGACTTCTAAGAATTGCAATTTAAAAACACATTTTCAAAGTGATTCCTCTGACGGATCTGGGCAAAATACATTGAAAACCTTTTGGAGGCCGGGCACGATGGTTCACGCCTGTAATCCCAGCACTTTGTGAGGCCAGGGCAGGCGGATCACAAGGTCAGGAGTTTGAGACCACTCTGGCCAACATAGTGAAACCCCGTCTCTACTAAAAATACGAAAAAATTAGCCAGGTGTGGTGGGCGACTGTAATCCCAGCTACTCAGGAGGCTAGGGCAGGAGAATCACTTGAACTTGGGACGTGGAGGTTGCAGTGAGTTGAGATCATGCCACTGCACTCCAGCCCAGGCAACAGTGCGAGATTCTGTCTCAAAAAAACAAAACAAACTAAAACAAAAACAAACAAACAAACAAAAACACCTTTTGGAAAGAATTCACCATTCTAGATGTCATTAAAACGATTCATGATTCATGGGTGAAAGACAAAATATCAACATTAACAGGAGCTTTGAAAAAGTTGGTTTCAACCCTCATGGATGACTTTCAGAGCTTCAAGACTTCAGTGGAGGAAGTGACTGCAGATATGGTGGAAATAGCAAGAGAAATAGCATGAGAAGTGGAGCCTGAAGATGTGACTGAATTGCTGTAATCTCATAATCAAACTTGAACAGGTGAGGAATCGCATCTTATGGGTGAACAAAGAAAGTGGCTTCTTGAGATGGAATCTACTCCTGGTGAAGATGGTGTGAACATTGTTGAGATGACAACAAAGGATTTAGAATATTACATACACTTAGTTGATGAGGCAGCAGCAGGGTTTGAGAGGATTGACTCCAATTTTGAAAAAATTCTACCGTGAGTAAAATATAATCAAATAGCACCATATGCTACAGAGAAATCTTTCATGAAAGGAGGAGTCAAATGATGGGGCCAACTTTGTCTTCGTTTTATTGTATGGAACCACTATAGTCACCCCAATCTTCAGCAACCACTGCCCTGGTCAGTCAGCAGCCATCAGCGTTGAGGCAAGACCCTCTACCAGCAAAAAATTAAAAGCTGCTGAATGCTCAGATGATCATTAGCATTTTTAGCAATAAAATAGTTTTAAATTAAGGTATGTACTTTTTTGAGACATAATGCTCTTGTACACTTAATATGACTATGGCATAGTATAAACATGGCTTTTATATGCACTGGGAAACCAAAACATTCATGGGACTCACTTTATTGCAGTATTCCCTTTATTATGGTGGTCTGGAACCAAGCCCATGACAGCTATGAGCTATGCCTATATACCTTAAAGTGTTAAAAGTCTTCTCTTGGATCTCAAGCCTGCCCTCCCACCCTGTGACTTTCCACCTGGAGTAGAGGCGGGAAGTGTAGAGATTTTCATTCTTGAGCCCCTTGCCCAGGTGTATGGTGCTGATGACTGGGTTAATTGTCATACAGAGATTACCTTCACCATCACTTCCAGGAAATGTCATACTCAATTTTGAAAAACCACATGAGCAAATATCTTTCTAAACTCACTTTTCTTAAGAGTAGGACACTGTTGTACAGTACACACACAGGAATAAGGGGGCATACTTGTTAAACATAAATTATTTCTCAGATTTTTTGGCATTAAATTAATTCTTTTCATGTTTGTCAGTCCTGAGCAGATTGATAATTTAAAAACGTATACACAACAACACAGAATGTTTTTTCCCTTTTTTTTTTTAATAAATCCAAGGAACATGGTTTTCCTTTTTTACAAAGTCAAGGGAATGACAAACAGAAAAGGAGAGGTCTGTGTCAAAGTGGCATTTTCTTTATCTTGTGGAATAATCTTTTATGTTATTCTTCTGTCTCAAAAATTGAATGTTCTTTAGTGATAAATGCATTATAGAGAAGAATATCCCAAAACAGAATAATGGCAAGAAACAGTTTTCACGTTGTAATCTCAAGCCTCTCTTTCAATTGAGGTTTTGCTTATTTTGAGACATTTTGTTGTTCATATGAACACAAAAGCAGCTTGATTCTTCTTGATCTTTATGTTTAGGTGAAAATCAGTTCATCCTGGATAATAATTTTAAGAATTTGAGAAGATCTGATTGTCTGACATGTGTCACCATCTTAGGACTGTTGCAATATGATCATGGTGTCTTGTACCTCTGACATCATAGTCTTTCTCTTAAAAAAACAAACCAAACAGGAAATAGCTTTTACTTCTGACCACTTCAGAGATAGACGGGTCTTCGTTGCTTCTGTGTGACTTGGACTCCTTCTTACCTCTGAATGGCTTGGACTCCTTCTCGCCTCTGAATGGAAGGGAAGCTGCCACCAGCCTTTGATTCTAAGGGACAAACCTCCCATTTGTAGCTGGACCTCACAGCCATGGTGGTTCATTCCTCTCTCTTCCACAGGCTCAGTAGACCAAAAGGAATCTTTTTTTTTTACCCCGTTACTCCAGGCTGGGGTCACAGTAGGGGAGCTCATGGGAATTTATACTCTTGAGATCCCTTTGGTCTTTAGTCCATTCATTAATTACTCCTTCATTCCTGTGCCTATTCACTTATTCATTCATTTATTTCTGTATTTAACCTTCCATTATGTTAAGCTCAGCCAATGCAGAGGTGAATAAAGTTGCAGTAGGAAGGAAAACTGCTTTCACCACCAGCCTTACTCTCTCTGCTCCCACTTAGAGTTGCCAAGGCTAGAACAATTTAGGGAATTTCCTATTCGAGTAATCCCCGACAAGCCTGACTCAAAAAAGGCTAGGAGACTTGTGCATTCATTTCAGGGAAAGGGAGGAACTAATTCACTGTAGTGGGTTGAATAGTGGCTTCCAAAATCATGTGTCTGCATCCTTGGAACCTGTGAATATGACCATATGTGGAAAAAGCGTCTTTGCAGATAAATTAAGGCTCTTGATTTGAGTCAGTCATCCTGGATTATCTGGGTGGGCCCTAAATCCAATAACAAATGTCCTTAGAAGAGAAGATATGAAGACAGAGGCAAAGATTGCAGTGATGTGGCCCAAATCCAGGAATGCCAGGGCAGCCACCAGAAACTGAAAGAGGCAAAGAATATATTCTCCCATAGACTCTTCAGAGCAAGCACAGTCGTGTTAGACTTCTGGCCTCCCCTTGATAGGAGATAAATTTCTGTTATATTAAGGCAGCAAGTTTGTGATCATTAGTTGAGGAAGTGACAGGAAACAAATCTAGTCACCCAGCTTCAATATCAGCTCAAGTGGAAGTTCTTAGAATATTTTTCAATTACTATCAGGTTTTTGAAAGATACCTCACATTTATATCTTAGTTGAATGGAAAAAACAGATTGTGAGACATTTCAAGGGACAGTTGGTAGGATTTGGGGATTATCTGCATATGAGGGAGAAGAAAAAGGGGTGCAACTGACGACTCTAAGGTTTTTTTTTTTTTTTTTGAATGTTTATACTTTTTAAAAAAATTTTACTTTTAAGTTCTGGGATACATGTGCAGAACGTGCAGGTTTGTTACATAGGTATACATTTGCCATGGTGGTTTGCTGCACCCCTCAACCCATCATCTAGGTTATAAGCCCCACATGCATTACGTATTTGTTCTAATGCTCTCCCTGCCTTTACCCCCCATTGCCCAACAGGCCCTGGTGTGTGAAGTTCCCCTCCCTGTGTCCATGTGTTCTCATTGTTCAACTCCCATTTATGAGTGAGAACATGCATTGTTTGGTTTTCTGTTCCTGTGTTAGTTTGCTGAGAATGATGGCTTTCCAGTTTCATCCATGTCCCTGCAAAGGACACAAACTCATCCTTTTTTATGGCTGCATAGTATTCCATGGTGTATATGTGCCACATTTTCTTTAACCAGTCTATCATTGATGGGCATTTGGGATGGTTCTTTGCTATTGTAAATACTGCTGCAATAAACGTACGTGTGCATGTGTCTTTATAGTAGAATGATTTATAATCCTTTGGGCATATACCCAGTAATGGGATTACCAGGTCAAATGGTATTTCTGGTTCTAGATGATTGAGGAATCGCCACACTGTCTTCCACAATGGCTGAACTAATTTACACTCCCACCAACAGTGTAAGAGCATTCCTTTTTCTCCACAGCTTTGCCAGCATCTGTTGTTTCCTGACTTTTTAATAATCGCCATTCTGACTGGTGTAAGATGGTATCTCATTGTGGTTTTGATTTGCATTTCTCTAATGACCAGTGATGATGAGCTTTTGTTTATACGTTTGTTGGTCACATAAATGTCTTCTTTTGAGAAGTGTCTCTTCATATCCTTTGTCCTCTTTTGATGGGGTTGAACTAAAGAGCTTCTGCACAGCACAAGAAACTATAATCAGAGTGAACAGGCAACCTACAGAATGGGAGATAATTTTTGCAATCTACCCACCTGACAAAAGTCTAATATCCAGAATCTACAAGGAACTTCAACAAATTTACAAGAAAAAAAACAGACTCCAAGGTTTTAAAACTAGGAAGATGATGGTGTTACTGACCGAAAGAGGGAGTTCTGTTTTAGGGCTGTGATGAGGCAACGGTGTCCAATGAGTTGTTTTAGAAAAAGTGAGTGCGAGATCGCAAATATTGTAAAATCTGATGTTGAAAAAGAAGATTTAAGTGGGATATTAATTTCCTTTTCAAGTCCTTTATCACCAAGTGTCCTAGTCTCTACAATTGCATGCATACATGGATTTCCCTTGTTGAAACTTATACACACTTACCCAAAGAAAGGGTCTGTTGAATGGAGGTGCTTCACAGAAGGACCACAACAAAGGAGACACTCAACAAGTATCAGTTAAATGAATGAATCAATACACTCAAAAAGGCAGGGAAAGAAGGTCTTTCTTTTCATCACAATATCTGTCTTTTCGCTTACTTCCACTTAGTACTTTTTTTAAATTTGCAGTTAATATTTTCTTAATGATAAAATATTTTAAAACTGTAAACTTACTATTATACACTAATAGATGAGACTTTGATTTGTGACCTTGAAGACAACATGATAATTTTGAAGTGTCAAAAAAACCCTCCACAAAACTAGCTTCGACTGTTATCACGAGACTAGTAGCAGGCAATTATACTAAGTCCTGAGCTCTACTGTAGAATATTTTAAGATTAACCATTGTTCCGTTCAGTTTTTCTCAGGGGAATTACACCATAGAATTATTATTGCCATTATTGTTGCTTTATATATAAATCTTAGTATTTTTCTTGATATGAATTTATTTTTCTCTCTGGGATAAAACCATAGTTTTAGGCATAGTTTCAGGCCTTCTAACACCATTAGACATGCAAGAAGACGGAATCCCACTGAATAAGCATAACCATGGGACCTTTACAAATGTCACCAACAGTTAAGAAGCAGGACTGTTTTTGTTAACTCTTGTCACAAGACATACAAGAAATGCTCTTTCTCTTTTTTTTTTTTTTTTTTTGAGAGAGAGTCTCACTCTGTCACCCAGGCTGGAGTACACTGGCATGATCTCAACTCACTGAAACCTCCAACTCCCTGATTCAAGCAATTCTTCTGCCACATCCTCCCGAGTAGCTGAGATTACAGGCATACAGGCATGCGCCACCATGCCCAGCTTATTTTTGTATTTTTAGTAGAGATGGAGTTTCAGCATGTTGGCCAGGATGGTCTCGATCTCCTGACCTTGTGATCCACCCGCCTTGGCCTCCCAAAGTGCTGGGATTACAGGCGTCAGTCACCGCGTCTGGCCTGCGTTCTCATTTCTAGAAAACCGAAATGTGAGAAGAGAGAGGTACGCAATTAGCACACGTGGCCTATTTATTTTTGTCTCATATAATCCAGGATTTGGGGCATGTGTGTGAAAACTCTTACGGAAGCCTTACTTAGTCAAAAAGTATCGCTGTGGCCTTGTGTGGTGGCTTATGCCTGTAATCCCAGCACTTTGGAAGGCCGAGGTGGTGGATCACTTGAGGTCAGGAGTTCGAGACCAGCCTGGCCAACATGGTGAAACCCCATCTCTAATAAAAATACAAAAATTAGCTGGGTATGTTGGTGGGCACCTGTAATCCCAGCTACTCGGGAGGCCGAGGCAGGAGAATAGGAGAATCGCTTGAACCCAGGAGACGGAGGTTGCAGTGAGCCAAGATCACGCCACTGTGCTCCAGCCTAGGCAACAAGAGCGAGCCTCTGTCTCAAAAAAAAAAAAAAAAAAAAGTACAGCTGTGCTAGTTAATTGAAAGGCGGCACCCTGAGCATACTAAGCATTAAAAGGCCATGCAGAGCTGCCTCCATGCCTCCAACCCTCTGCCATGGTCCCTAAGAGAAGCTCAGGGTTCCTCCTCCTCTGTGGGGAGCATGGGTTAGAATAAGGAGGAAGGATTCTCACCGCCAACGGGAAGAGCATTTCACCCAAGAGAATGCTGTTGCAGGCTCACTCTGGAACAGAAAGTTCCCGGGCTCTGTTAGCATTTATAAAGGGAATAGGTGAAGGTGGGGGTGGGTATTCAGAGAGCAGAAGTCTCTGGGTCACACTAGCCTTTACCATCTTGATGGTTAGGGCTGTTTATAGCACATCAGAGCTTCTCCAAGCCTAGTGGCAGGTCCAGTTTTCGTGCAATGTGATGACATGTTACCGAAATCTAAGTTTTTAGAGTTTTTAACAGTGACTTTGAAATCAGTACTATCTGGTTGTCCGGCTACAAATGGAGAACCAATGTTAAATATGCAGAGGAATCCTATTTCTATTCTGTAACCTAACAGCCAGTGTACATGCAAGCAGAAATTCCCGTAACAGTTTTTGCTTCACATATCATGTCTCATGTGATAATAGTATCTGAATAGGTTATCCTTATGGATTCTTAGCAAATCATTGAAGCAAAAGAAAGCTGTAACTAAAATCTCTTACTTGTGATCAGTTTTCAAAAGGAATCAACTACCCTGGCAAGCACTTTATTATTTTTGTTCCATTATTAGTACCTGCTTTATGCATTCCTTTTGGGAAACTTAGGTGTGAGAAGGAATTATGGCAAATATATTTTTTAAACAGCCAATTCATAAGTTTCAGCTCCTTGGCCATTAGATACTTGTTGTCTACTGAGTGTCTTTGCACCAACGTGATAATTGGATGCTACAACAAACCTTGCCTACCTGTTACCTTGCAGCCATTTAATACTTATTTGGCTGTTAAGGTCATGAGTGATTTGATCTCCATGAAGTTGTGTCTTCCTCTTTCCAACCTCACACCTTAGCAGTAAACTCGAGCTCACTGGAAGTGATCATTACTTGAAGTCACACTTGGATGACTGTTATTAAACCAGAGAGGAGAAATCATGCTACGTATAGAAATGGTAGTATTAGTAACACACCAATGTTGTTATTTTTTAAACTGAGTTGGCCAGAACTGCTTTGAACTGATATTCTGCTTATGTGAGCTGTGTCTCAACATTTTAAAAGCAAACTGATACATTTAACAGATACAGACATATGGGCACACCCATACACATACCCCAATGTAGATTTGCTAGATTGAAAATGTGGGCCATTTAAAAAATATAGTATTGATTTGAAATAAGTAGTCAGACTAGCTCATGCTGCTTTCAGAGTAGGACACACCTGTTCCTCAGTGGGTGCACTGCATCTAAGCCAGGTGTCAGCAAACTAGGATCCATGCACCAAATGCAGCCCACCACCTGTTTTGTAAGTAAAGTTGTATTGAAATGCAACCCTACTCATATGCATTGTCTGTGGCTGCTTTCACACCGCAGTGGTAGAGTTGAGCCGTTCTGATAGAGGATGTATGGTTTACAAAGCCAAAACACTTACTCTCTGATTCTTCTTATTTTTTGAGGCGGAGTCTCACTCTGTCGCCCAGGCTGGAGTTCCGTGGTTCGATCTTGGCTCACTGCAACTTCTGCCTCCCGGGCTCAAGCGATTCACCTGCCTCAGCCTCCCGAGTAGCTGGGATTACAGGCACCCACCATCATGCCCAGCTAATTTTTGTATTTTTGTAGAGATGGGGTTTTACCACGTTGGCCAGGCTGGTCTTGAACTCCTGACCTCAGGTGATCCACCTGCCTCAGCCTCCCAAAGTACTGTGCCAGGACTACTCTCTGATTCTTTACAGAAAAAAATGTCAACTTTTTATCTAAGCAAATGCTTATGTTAGCCATGACCCTGAAGACAGTCTGACCTCTAGGAAGAAATATTTTTCAGTATTTATATAAACTCTAGTTTATATAAAGCCCAGTATTTTAGTACTTGAGAGCTTTTATTTTATGTTCTTGAGTAGCGGGAAGCAAGAATAAAGAAACAGATGAGTGATTTTGGTGTTCCAATGCACCTAAAAGAAACAAAATACTTAAGAGCTTCAGAACAGGGATGATTTTTAAATCATAGAATCAGAAGAAAACTGGAGATCACCTTATACTATGATGTTCTCTGGGGAGAAGGGAATACACATTTGTAGAAATATATTGAATACTCTGTTTTATCGATTACAGTCACCATTTATGGTAAAAATGTGCTACTAAAAAAACAGTATATGTACCTTCTAATAAATGAAATATGATGTTATAAATTTATATGAAGGATTCAAAAACCCATTGAGTCAAATTACAGAAAGCATATATCAGCGCCTTTTTTTCATCCTACAGAAGCTCTGTAGAAGAAGCAGTTCATTTTCAATCTTATTTATTTATTTATTTATTTATTTTGAGATGGCATTTCACTCTCATTGACCAGGCTGGAGTGCAGTGGCGCAATCTCGGCTCGCTGCAACCTCCGCCTCCCGGGTTCAAATGATTCTCCTGCCTCAGCTTCCCGAGCAGCTGGGATTACAGGTGCCCGCCCTCATGCCTGGCTAATTTTTGTATTTTTAGTAGAGACTGGGTTTCACCGTGTTGACCAGGCTGGTCTTGAACTCCTGACCTCAGGTGATCTGCCCACCTCGGCCTCCCAAAGTGCTGGGTTTACAGGCGTGAGCCACCGCACCTAGCAGATCTTTGATCGTAATCTGGAGAATTATTGAGGCAGAGAGACAGAGACCCTGTGCTTGGACTCATGCTTTCCTAGCATCTAAGTAGCATGAAAAGTTTCTCCTCTAGTCTGTTAACCTGATGAACTACATACATAGATTTTCTGATGTTAAACTATTCTTAAATCCTTGGGATGAACCCTGCTTGATTCTGCTTTTTTAACTGTACACTTTCTTATGTTAGATAATATTTACGAAGGATTTTTATATCTATAGCCTTATGTAAAATTGGCCTGTAATTTTCTTTTCTTACATTGTTCTTATCCAGTTGGGTAACAAGATATTAGTCTCATAAAATAAGTTAGGTTATTTTTATTATTTGAAGCAACAGGTATAAGGATTATCTGTCAAATATTATTTTAATGGAAAAAATACAATAAAGAACAGCGTAAAGAAAGAAAATTAAATTTGAGCTTACCCTATAGCATAACATTGTTGTCAGTATGAAAGTGAACAATAGTAATGTTTTAAAGACCCAATCAACAGATGAGGATTTAGCAGCCTGTGTTTGGAGTACTCTTCTAAATGCTGTGATCTCATCAGATGAATGGTGGATTATGTATGTGTGCAATAAGTAAATGAATCAATGATTTTTAGATATATTCAGTCAATTTTAATAGTTACGGTTTATATCCAAATTCTAAATGAAGAAGAAAGCTGAGATGGAGATTTGAGAATAAAAGAAATAAGGGTAGGTTAGATGTCTGATATATGAGGTTTCATATGTGTCTCCTTGTTAACCAGTGTTTCTTAACTGGCAGCATGTTAGAATCACTTGATGCAGATCTTACAAATATCAGTGCCCAAAACCCCACCCTGATCATCGCAGAAAGAGGTTCTGGGGGTGGTGAGCAAGCAGCTGCATTTTTACAAAGTTCTCCAGGTGGTTCTGGTGCAAGGTGTGCATTGTGAGAACCACTTTTCTTTTTCTTTTTTTTTTTCTTTTTTTTTTTTTTTTGAGATGAAGTCTCACTCTGTTGCCCAAGCTGGAGTGCAGTGGCATGATCTCGGCTCACTGCAACCTCCACCTCCTGGGTTCAAGGAATTCTCCTGCCTCAGCCTCCTCAGTAGCTGGGACTACAGGCACACACCACCCTGCCCAGCGAATTTTTATATTTTTGGTAGAGACAGTGTTTCACTGTGTTGGCCAGGCTTGTCTTGAACTCCTAACCTCATGATCCACCCGCCTCGGCCTCCCAGACTGCTGGGATTACAGGCATGAGCCACCGCGCCCGGCCGAGAACCACTTTTCTAGATCTAGCAGTAAGACATGCGAGTTTTTCACTGGTTTCAAGAGAATCAAGTATGTGAGGACCAAGAGAACACCAGGAATAAATTAATCATGCTATGGTGACTGCCTTTTAGAAGACTGTCAGTAATGGTAGTCTTCCATTTTATTCTTTACTCTCTTAAAAAACCATAACTACATTAGATGTAGGTATATGTATAACTGTATGTAAGTGCAGTTATATGTAGGTAAGTACACCTTACCTACTTTTCAAATATAACCTACAAACAGCTATATGTAGGTAAGTACACCTACCTACTTTTCAAATATAGCCTGTGATGATTGTGGGTTGAATAGACAGAAAAAATTACTTTTTGCAGCTTTCATTTTTGGCGGTTGTCCCTCCTGCTGATTCTTCCTGCCTAACATTTCATCACATATGCATTTCGAATTTTCAGTTAATTTTTTTCTGTTATTTTTTATTTTTAATATTTTTTAATCTTAATTTTCATTTAATTTTTAGTGGTTTGTTTTTTGTTTGTTTGTATGTTTGTTTTTGATATGGAATCTTGCTCTGTCACCCAGGCTAGAATGCAACAGCGTGATCTCGGCTCACTGCAACTTCCACCTCTCAGGTTCAAGCGATTCTCCTGCCTTGGCTTCCTGGGTAGCTGGGATTACAGGTGCCTGCCACTATGCCTGGCTAATTTTTTTTTTTTTTTTTTTTTATGTAGAAACAGGGTTTCACCATGATGGCCAGGCTGGTTTCGAACTCCTGACCTCAAGTGATCCACCTGCCTTGGTCTCCCGAAGTGTTGGGATTACAGGCATGAGCCACCATACCGGGCCAATTTTTAGTGTTTTAAAATGTCTGTTCTTTTGTGTTCGTTGTCATAGTAGTCTCTCACTGCAGCGCCACTTGAAACCTTGTCACTCTGTGTGCACTGAATGGGCATGATGGGTTAGTAATGTCTGTGGGAAATTCTTAGAGCTGGGGATAAAAGCCTGTCTTTTGTGGGTTGACCACAGCCCCATGCCTTCTCTCCTTGTCGTGTTTCTGACATTGTGTGATATGAATGTTTGTGAGTAAAGATCTCCTGCATAATGAAATGATGTTTGTAAAGCAACGAGGACTTTAATTTCCAAAGGAATTCATTTCAGTTTTCCAGAGAAAAAGTCGAAGTAATTTTACCTTTGCAAACTGACAGTATTCCTAGCTCTGTTAAGTAGAGTCATGTTGCATACCACAATTTCAGTTTAGTGCTTGGTGTAAGTCTCTCATATACTTTAGATAAAAGCAAAAACATATTATCTTAAACAGTTTAAAATTGAATATTGACTTCAAAAGCAATTATATCCAAATATGTAATTGTCTAAACTTATTCTTTGGCTTCTTACAGTCTTTCAAAACTTATCTTCCAATGTTATTGGACTGTTTATTGAAACTGTAGCCGCACTAGTCCATAGCTATCTATCCGTAAGCAGTCATTTGAATAAAATAAATTGTATTCAGAAAACTACATCCCCTAAAACAATATTCACATAAAACCAGGGTCAAATCACTGAGATACATATAAGAAAGTAAAAACAGTTTTCAGTAAAAGATCACATTCTATCAGAGCCCATAAATCTCACTCCATATTGCCATATTAATATCAAATTTATAACCTCCACCTGCTGTCTTCCAACTTTCAGTTCTCAAGTTTTCCCAGCAATATAATAAAGTGATTTTGCTACTGAAATGGACAGCACTTTTCCATCAAATATATATTGTTTTAGGAAAATCCCAGTGTCTCTTAAAACTGACATAAAACATAAAAACAGGCCATGGTGTGTGTGTCATCTGGTCCCAGCTGTCTCTTTCCTGAGGCACTTTGTAGCTCATCTCATTTCTCTGGCCTCCCTCTGGTTTCTGACCTCAGAGGCCCACGCGGTGCTCACTCTGAATCCTGTTAACTGCACTTGACTCCCAACCAAAACTGTTCTTTCTCAAGTTTTCCAAGTAGATGTTCCAATTTGGTGGGCCTTCTTTTTTCATGATTTTTCCTTTTTATTCCATACCACTTTAGAGCCATTCGTCATCTGCTGACATACATTCAGGGGTTTTATGTGTGCATTTAATGTTTCTTCAAAAAAGCTCAGTTGCTTTACAGCCAGAACCCCATATTGCTTTTCTATTCATTATAATACCTAGCAGATCATTGGTCTTGTTGCAAATTCTTATCAAGTTTACCTTGAATTGAGTGTTGAGCTTCTACCTTGAAATCCTAACATTCTGTGTTCTGCTCTTGCTGGCCTTCCTGACTGATGCTTTGTGATTGTGTGTGTGTGATGGCATATGTGTCTGAGTGTGTGGTTTAGAGACAGAGCCTTGCTTTGTCACCCGCGCTGGAGTGCAGTGATGTGATCATAGCTCATTGCAGCCTCAAACTCTTGGGTTCAAGTGATCCTCCCGCCTCCAACTCCCGAGTAGCTAAGACTATAGGCTTGCACCACCACCTGGCTCATTTTGTTTCTTTGTTTGTTTTTTGTAGAGATGGAGTCTCACTATGTTGTCCAGGCTGGTCTCAAACTCCTGGCCTCAAGGGATCCTCCCATCTCAGCCTCCCATGTGATTGTGTTTTATATTTCTTCTCTGTCTTCCTGTTGAAAGGTTGTTTATTTAAAAAATTCCCTCTGTGGCTATCATCTTCCTCACAGTAACAATTAATTTTTTTTTTTTTTTTGAGACGGAGTCCTGCTCTGTCACCCAGGCTGGAGTGCAGTGGCACAATCTCAGCTCACTGCAACCTCTGTCTCCCAGGTTCAAGAGATTCTCCTGCCTCAGCCTCTTGAGCAGCTGGGACCACAGGTGTGTGCTACCACGCCCGGCTAATTTTTGTATTTTTGGTAGAGATATGTTTTCGCCATGTTGGCCAGGCTGGTCTCAAACTCCTGACCTCAGGTGATCCGCCCGCCTCGGCCTCCAAAAGTGCTGGGATTACAGGCGTGAGCCACTGCACCTGGCCCACAGTAACTATTAAAAACACGTTATTTGGGCCAGGTGCGGTGACTCACACCTGTAATCCCAGGACTTCAGCGGGTGGATCACCTGAGGTCAGGAGTTCGAGACCAGACTGGCCAACAGGGTGAAACCCTGTCTCTACCAAAAATACAAAAATTAGCCAGGCATGGTGGTGGGAGCCTGTGGTCCCAGCTGCTCAGGAGGCTGAGGCACGTACGAGAATCACTTGAGCCCATCAGGCCGAGATTGCAGTGAGCTGAGATCACGCCACTGCATTCCAGCCTGGACAACAGAGTGAGACTCTGTCTCAAAAAAAAAACAAACAAAACACATTATTTGTGCATAATATAAGAGTGATTCTTGAAAAGCTTCTGAAACATAATATAGTAATCGGCTTATTCTCTTTTGTGCTGCTATAATAGAATACCACAGACTAGGCAATTTATAATTAACAGAAACTTATTTGGCTCATAGTTCTGGAGTCTGGAAGTCCAAGATCATGGGGCCTGCATCTGGTGAGGGTCTTCCTACTGATTCATAACATGGTGAAGACATCACATGGGCAAGAGACTGAGAGAGAGAGAGAAAGAGAAAGAGAAATGGGCCAAATGCATCCTTTGATAAGGAACTCACTCCCATGAGAACGACATTAATCCATTCATGAGAGCAGAGCCCTCATAACCTAATCACCTCTTAAAGGTCCCATCTCTCAACATTGTTGCATCAGGGATTAAGTGTCCAACTTAGGAACTTTGGAGGACACGTTAAATCCATGGCAATAAAGTATCGTTATTTGTAAGTACTGGGGCATTGGAAGATCACATGTATTTTCCTACGATTTCACAGACAATCCAAGGCATAAACTCAGTTACCTTTAACATCCCCAGTATTTAAAGGAGATTGGAAACTGGGATAGGCAAGTGGTTATAGCATTGGAAGCACTGAGAGTTTCTCATTCCACCCCACATTAGTATGACTGTTACTGATGGGGAGCATTGGTGGTAACAGGAGGCTGAATGCAAATGGAGTAGAATGCCAGCAACTCACAATGAAGGAATTAGACTAAATTCCTCATGAGCTTTCAACACATTCCTGAGTCCCTTATTGTCTCAAGTTTTGCTCCATTGCAAGGGAAATTATTACTGAACGGGAAGAAGCCCTTCATAAAGACAAACAAGAAAAAAACTTTTAGATATTTCTCCTATTTTGTAGAGTTTTTTTTTTTTTTTTTTTTGAGACGTAGTCTCGCTCTGTCACCAGGCTGGAGTGCAGTGGTGCAATCTCAGCTCACTGCAACCTCTGCCTCCCGGGTTCAAGCGATTCTCCTGCCTCAGCCTCCCAAGTAGCCGGGACTACAGCCGCGCCACCACACCCAGCTAATTTTTGTATTTTTAGTAGAGATGAGGTTTCACCATGTTGGCCAGGATGGTCTCTATCTCTTGACCTCGTGATCCACGCACCTCAGCCTTCCAAAGTGCTGGGATTATAGGCGTCAGCTGCCGCGCCTGGCTTCATAGAATTGTTTAACCTTTCCCTTATGTTTCCCTGGTTCATTAAATATGGAGGACTCATTCCACAAGTGCTATCTCAAAATTGTTATTTTTCTTAGCAGATATTATTAAAATATGGATAATAGCCATCTACTCATGGCTGTCTTCCAGGAGTCATATAAATATGTGACTAGCCAGTGTCCAGTACCTGTGACGCCATAGCTTTGTAGTAGCGTCAGCTTCCCTGGCTCCCACCATGAGGGAAGGAGGGTGACCGCTGGCATCTTTTTATTCCTAACTCAGTAAATGTATATTGGCTGCTTACTCTATCCTTGGGACTGTGCTGGGCTGGGCTTTACGGTAGCGAAAATAGCTGACGCACATATGATTCTTCATCTAGACCAGGATCTTCTGAGTGTAAAAGGGGGTGCTGGTAATAATTTTGCTGGGACAATTGACAGAGGTCTGGACTGTTCCAAGCACATCAGGACTTAGAATCTCTCACCCGCCTCAGATTTGTCTTTTTCAAATCAAGTTGCTCTCCGTTTTTTCCTATTCTTTCTTAAATTATAAGACTAAATGTGAACCCAAAATTCGAATTGAATTCTGTTCACTGTTAAAGACAAAATACAGCAGACGACTGAAGAGTTTTTATTTGGGTTGTGATCATGGCGAGGACATTCATTACAAAGAAAAATCTCAAAAGGAAGGAGTTTGGGGGCTCCTAAAGGCAGGTAAATCAGTGCATGGTCTGTGACCCTATGGGAGTGTGAGGAAGGTGGGGGCAGGGCTTAACTTGAACATGTGAGGCCAGGGTGGGTTTCGGCAAACACAAAAGACTGAAGTTGAAGAAATTATTATTTTTTCTATTAAATGAGTACAAAAAATGGAATAAATAACAAAGTAGATGCAATTAGTTTAAATTACAGAGATCAGAAAATTGCAAGTAGAAATAAGCAGGAAACATTTTAAAACCTGTCAACACCCATTAAGACAAAAAAGAATTCTAAAACAGTTGAAATGTTGGCAGGTACAACAAAACCATGGCACCTGTGGACTGGACCAGGCGTGGGGGTCCGTCACGCAGACTAGGAGGTGCCCTTGGGTTTGGCAATGTAGAGACCCAGAGGAACAAACTGAAAAACAAGTTTAAGAAAAAGAAGGAAGAGGAGGTAGAGAGTCTGACAAACCAAGTGCAAACGAGCAGTATGCCAAGTAAAGTCTTCATTTCTGTAGACTGGCAACCTGAATTAAGTCTAGCACCTCATCTGGAACTGCCTCGAGGGCTAACAGTCACTGAGGAGTCATTTTCCTTTGGGAACTGGGACACACTTTCCTCAGAAACCAGTCCCTGCCTGTTAAAAATATCCGTAGTCACCAAGGACCACCAGAAAAGCAGGCTCCTGGGTCTTGTCCATGCCCAAACCAGCTCCAGAAAGTGTACCAAATGCAAAAATGCAATGCTTTAAAATTCCAATTAGTTTTCAATTCCCATTTCCCTCTGTAACATCTTCAGCTTAGCGTGCATGTATCGTTTCACATATCCTCTATGGTCTGGAAAATTCGGAAACACCAAAACCATCAAGAGAGAGACCTATTTATGAATAATTTATTATAGTTCTTTTGCTTTGAAAACCTCTTGGCTTCTATTAGCATAACCAGGGCCTAGTTCAGATTCCCCAGGGAGGTGCTACTGGAATTTTTTCTCACGCATTAGATGTAAGACATACCCATTTGGGAAAAACTGAGACGTATTTCTAAAAGACATACATATAGATGGAGTTGATTTTATCAAACGAAATCAGATGAGGTAAGAAGAAAATGTTTGACTGTGATTTATATATCACGCATGTTAAACTCATAAAATTTAAAAAACCAAAAGGAATTAGAGAGACACATTTTGATTTCCCTATGATAAGAAAATGCATTATATGATAATACATGAAGGTAGAGAAAGCCTTTTTTTGATGCTATATCAAATTATCCAGATATTTGTGACATCAAATCATATAAATTATTGAAAATGTGGAATTAATATTTCAATGAGAACTAATCCTACATAAATGGTGAAAAATTGTCTATGAACATTAATGCAAAACAATGACCCAAAAAGAAAAATACAACATAAAGAGGAAAAGAAAGAAATAAGGCGAAATATGCTGTTATATCTTGACTTTCACAAATGCTAATGAATAGTCCTGAAGAGGCGGTACCTGACATCCAGTGGGACAGCCTGGGTGACCTCAGACAATAATTCCAGTCTCTTTTGGTATCAGTTTCCTCACTTGTAAGATAAGGCGGTGACCTAAATCTTCCCTACAGCTCTAACAGCGAGGTCACTGAGAGCTCCACTACCTCATATTCCTCTCTTAGGCCCCTGTGTGCAGAGCACCAGCCTTCTTCTAACCAAATGCACAGGTTTTGTGCTCAGGGCAGAGTTTCCATTCTGTATTTCTTCCTCTTTCCCAACCCTTGTGAAATAGAATGTGAATTCCAAGAAGAGAGGACCTGGTTCCCAGTCCTATGCCTAGGGTTTATGACATTACCTGGCACATAACAGGTATTCAGCAAATATTTGCTGAGTCTTGTCAACAATTAATTTTGAAAATCTTCTTTAACTTTTCTAAGTGATGCACCCCGGATTCAATTTTTTTACTATGCTAATTTTGCATTAAAAAGGCAAATTCTAAGGTACTAAGTGGGAAACAAATAGGAAAAAAAAAAAGGCAAAGACTAAAATCTAAAAAAGTACAGGTAAAATGCTTAGAAATCAAGTGTTTGCTGCACAATAATCCTCTTATTCATGCCACAAAATACCCACCCCTCAACCACTTGATGTAGACAGCTGAGGAGGGGAGAGGATGTCTGCAACCTTCTCTGCCCTTGGGCAAGGCAGGACAAAGTTGCATTTCTTCTGATAGTCTCCTTAGAGAAAATCGGTAGTTTTTTGCATTTCTGTGCCAGCTTTTTAACCCATTCAAACCCACATTCAGTAACAAATTTTTTTTTTTTTAGACAGAGTCTTGCTCTGTCACCAGGCTGGACTACAGTGGCGCCATCTCCGCTCACTGCAACCTCCAACTCCCTGGTTCAAGCAATTCTCCTGCCTCAGCCTCCCAAGTAGCTGGGACTACAGGCACCCGCCACCACACCCGGCTAATTTTTGTATTTTTAGTAGAGACGGGGTTTCACCATGTTGGCCAGGATGATCTCGATCTCTTGACCTCTTGATCTGCCCACCCCGGCCTCCCACAGTGCTGGGATTGCAGGTGTGAGCCACCGTGCCTGGCCCAGTAACCAAATCTTAAATGACTTTTGGGCCTCTCTCTGATGAGATTAATAATGGAATCAAACAAAGCTCTTGTTTAAAAGTCTTACAGACCCTGGCACAGCATCCATAGTCTCATCTCCTCATGGTACAGTGATAGAGCCATCATTCCTGCTTATTCTAAGTATGTGGTGCTGAGAAGGTGAACAATGCAAAATAGATTAAAAACTAGGTTTTCCTCCTCTGGAAGGATATCAATTATATCAACACAGGAGCAATTACATTGAGGAATTTTCTTTTTCTACATGATGGAATTTGGTAAGGTGGGACCCAAATCTGGAGACACAAGACCCGAGTCTCCCACCCACCCACCCTGAATTGTTTTTCACTCACGCAGATACCATTTTGTAAAGAAGCAGTATTGTCATGTGAGCATATGGTAACAGAATAATTTTATGTAAGAACTATGATGTAATCCTTTGGATATACCTGTATTTTCCTCACTGGGGACAGGGAGCCTGCTTGGGCCCTGTGCTCCCAACAGCAACGGGTAAGAAATGCCCACTGCTGTTGGGCAGGTGCTCAATAAATATGCGTTGAATGAATGAGTGAACAAATCTGTTGCATAAAGAGCATAATAATTATCTTTCAAGGGCTTTAGGGAAATTCTAAGATAATCTATGTAAAATAGCCTATTACCTGGTATGTGGTAAATACATTATAGTTGTTATTGGTATTCTGAGTATTAATAGTAACCCTTGAGAAAAGTTCTAATAAAATTATATGTGAGCAGGACTTGGTCGCTCGAATGAAAGGGAGTGTGAGACATTGGAAGAAATATGTTTCTATATTAGAACCCGCATTAGATATCATTTCACAGTTACAAAACTTCTCTTCACATGGGATAGATATCAAGAAAATGAGGGATAAGTCCTCCCTCATGTTAACTCTCAGCATAACAGCCTTGGAGCCTATTTTTATCTTTTGTTAGATGAGGGAAGTTGGGACCAAATTCAGCAAGATGCAACAAAAGACTTTTAAAATCCACTATTGAGCAATCTCTCCCCGTTTTCCTCTTTTCCCTCCAATTGATATTAATAACCTAAAATGGAGTTGGCACACGGTGTCCATTAAACTCATGGAACACCTCTTCGTGTCGGATTGACAGGTGCTGCCCAAGCCTTCACCAGGTTGATGTGGCGACAGACTCAGTGAATACCAGCAGCCTCCCTGTCATGGATCAGATCAAAGCTTGGGTCTCTTTTACAAATGTCCCATTGTCCTGAAGAAACTTTGCTCTAAGAAGCCATGTGGAAACACCTGATTTGACCATTGTCTGAGAATGACAGTGTTAGGAAGCTTCTTTACTGAGATGTATATATCTTTAATGTCTTTACGGAAACTAAGCTACCACTTTAATCCTAGGGTCTTCATTTTCTCATCATTATTCATGAATTTAACCGACCCTGGCTATGCAAAAATTGGGGTGATTTCTGACTTTGTCCTATTTATAATTCCTTCTACTGCAAATTAGAATTTAAAATCTTGTGGCACGTGAGGACATTTTCCTGCCTCCAATACTGTTCTTGGAGTCAGTCAAATGGTGTGCTAGCATCCTTGGGGTCTTGTTCATGACCAGCTCTTTGGGAATGACCCACATGGTTTTCCTTAGAATGTCGTTCAGTGCTTCCTAGACATTTTTTCCTCGTTCCACGTGAAGACAGTGATGATATTTGTAGGGCACACTGTGGTGGAGAGATACTGCTGCTTCTGGACAGACGCCACCAGCCTAGAGGCTACTGGCCAGGGGCTCTTGCTGTCCTGGGCATCTACTGGTGGCCCAGGGTCTCAGAGAATTAGTTGTTTGGTCCACTGGTTGAGCAGCTGAGCCACAATCCCACTTTAAATGTTTACTGTTTAAGAGTTGATTGATTTTCAGTCAGAGAGAAGTAGGTTCAAGTTCTGACTCTACCACTTATTAATCTTATGGTCTTGGCCAAGCTGTTTGAATTTTCTAGGCCTCTGTCCCGCTCATTTACATAAAGCTACCCAACTGGTTTGTACCTGTGTAAAGGACTTTCTATTAGTAAACGCTCTATCAAGGTTAGTTCTTGTTATCATGATTATTATTTAGATTCCCAGTACTAATTATAGACTCCTTAACTTATGAGATATTCCACAGAACACATACGCCAACTCCACGGCTGACATCAGCATTGCACACCAGGAGGCAGGCAGGCCTGAAGCGAAGCGTGTGATTCTGCTTCCGGGGTGGGGGTGGAGGGTCTGTCCTGCTGCCTTATACCCCCTTCTGTTTTGCATTGACATTTCCTCAACCTCTGACCTTGTGAACAAGAATCGGGGAAAGGTGGAGCAGCATGAATGCCTTATTCTGTGCTGTCCAATGTGGTAGCTTCTAGCAGCATGTAGCTCTTTAAATTAGCCTTAAAAATTAATTAAAATTCAATAAAACAAAAACTCAGTTCCTCAGTTGTGGTTCAACAGCCACATGCAGCCAGTAGCCAGGATATGGACAGAGTAGATACAGAACATTGCCACGACAGCAGAAAGTCCAACCGTCCAGCTCCGTAGAGAGACCCTGACCATGGCCTTTCAGGCTTAGAGTCTTCACCCAAAACCCGACCACAGGGTTCAATGTTAGCTGTTTAACAAACCGGATAATCAACTTTCAATCACTTTCCTTGGAGGCAAACTATTCTACTCCCATTCTGCAATGTTCATTTCTGCTTTTGATGCGACTTTGTAATTTTTTTTCAGCTAGGTAACAAAGGGAAAGGGTCATTGCCACCATTATAAGCGAGGAATATATTTTGAAAGATCTTTTAGTCTTTAAAAGTTTAATATTCTTTTTGTTCATTTTGCTTCATGCTTATTAAAGGTGATGGGGCAAAAATTGCAGACTGAGCACTCCACTTTTATGTTGCCCAGAAGTTACTGAAAATTCTTATTCATTATCTCGGCTGCTAACTATTCTAAATTTTCTTGTTGCCTTAAGCCTCGGGTCCTTCATCTGCATCTTCACGTAGGCAGAAAGGCTTTCAAGTGGAATTCACAGAGAGGGTGAGGACCAGAGCCTGGAGCCTTCCACGCAGGTTACCATCTCCAGAGATCCCAACAGGGATCCTAGGGAGGGGAGGGAGATTCACCCTCGATGCAAACTGAGTTTGAATGGGGCACCAACATGATCGTAGCTGTACTATGGAATGAATGAATGCATGAATGAATGAATGAATTTATTTAGAGATGGAGGCTTGCTCTGTTGCCCAGGCTGCAGTGCAGTGACACAATTTCAGCTCACTCTAACCTCCGCCTCCCAGGTTCAAGCAATTTTTCTACCTCAGCCTCCTAAGTAGCTGGGATTACAGGTGCCCGCCACCATGCCTATCTAATTCCTTTTTGTATTTTTAGTAGAGATGGGGTTTCACCATGTTGGCCAGATTGGTCTCAAACTCCTGACCTTAAGTAATCTCCCCTCCTTGGCCTCTCAAAGTGCTGGGATTATAGGCGTGAGCCACTGCGCCCAGCCAGGAATAATTCTTAAAATCCACGGATTCAAACAAAATAAGCAGAAGAATTTTATTCTTAAGTATCCAAGTGAGAATAAAAATAAGAACAAATGTGGAAGGTACTAGAGAATAACTATAACTGCTAATGACTAATAATCAGATAAGAATAATTTGACCTGATTAACCAGCTGTCTCTCAGAGAAGATGGAGAAGGAGACAGAAGGTGGCTTCAGTGGCTCTGTGGTTTTGAGGTCAGGTATCTGGGAGACTCATGAGGGGCTGTTATTCAGAAGGAGAGTCACGGAGTAGACCCGGCTTCAGGATAATAATATAGAGTTTGGTTTGGGGCCTTCACGGGAGGCTTAAATTATGCAATCCTCTTAAACTTTTCTGACTATAAATTATTAACCCTTATTAACCTTATCTTTGTATTTATCTGTCTGGGTGAAGCCAATTTAAATACAGTAGCAGGCTGTCCCTCAGACTTCTCTCCTCCAAGGATCGCCTGTCATACATAGCACTCCTGAGTAGATTAAAGATGAAAGTTCGTTTCAGCAGAGGAAATAGCTGACAAGATACTGAACCCATTTTGGCAGAAAACTTAACATTCAGCCTCAATCCGCTGAAACTGTCAAAAGAGAACGTGCATCCTCAGGCAGAATAAAGAGAAGGAAGAGGCGGGGTGCAGTGGCTCACGCCTGTAATCCCAGCACTTTGGGAGGCCGAGGAGGGCAGATCACGAGGTCAGGAGTTTGAGACCAGTCTGGCCAACATAGTGAAAACCCATCTCAATTAGCCAGGCATGGTGGCAGGCACCTGTAATCCCACCTACTTGTGAGGCTGAGGCAGGAGAATCGTGTGAACCCTGGAAGTGGTGGTTGCAGTGAGCTGAGATCGTGCCATTGCACTCCAGCCTGGGTGACAGAGCGAGACTCTGTCTCAAAAAAAGAAAAAGAAAAAAAAGAGAAGGAAGAGGTGTCCTCAGTGGGCCAGATTCAAGGGGAGAAATCAGCAAGGACATGTCTCTCTTGCCCATGGCTATTTTTTTTTTTTTTTTAGAGTCTCATTCTGTTGCCCAGGCTGGAGTGCAGTGGTGCCATCTCCACTCACTGCAACCTTTGCCTCCCAGATTCAAGTGATCCTCCTGCCTCAGCCTCCCAAGTAGCTGGGATTACAGGTGCCTAGCTAAATTTTGTATTTTTAGTAAAGACGAGGTTTCACTATGGTCTTGAACTCCTGAACTTAAGTGTGCCTGCCTTGGCCTCCCAAAGTGCTGGGATTACAGGAGTGAGCCACCACACCTGGCCCATGGCTCTTATTTTTAATTTGGATCACCCAGGAAACACTTCTCTCTTATATGCTTTATGTTCTCATATTTGAAAGGGGGATTTTAGCTTTTGTTTAATAAATGCAACCTGAGGACAAGCCGAGTGTGCTCCTTACATCTTGTTGTAAGGAGTACAGGAAAGAAATTTGGGTTAGTGCTTAAAAATTATTCCTGGCACTTGTTAAAGAACAGTAAGGCAGGCTTTATTTGGAGGGGATTACTGCAATGGGGTTTTGCAGCAGGGGAAGGAGATTGGACTCAACTCCAAATACAATAAGGAAAAATTGGGGATTTGTAGTCCAAGAGCAGGATGAGACAGAGTGGTTGGGGGTTGTTGGATAGAAAATTACTCAGAAGGCAAAGTAATTATTTGCCAATAGGATTCTTGCTGTAGGCAGGCCGAGGTGATCAGATGTCACCTGGAAGATGGCAGGGAATGAAGAAACCAATCTTATATCAAGGGTGATCAGATATTGAAGGTAAACCAACTTAGCCAGATCTTGCTAAAATTGAGGGATGCAAAGATGGATAAGAAAGTCTAAAAGTGGGCCAGGCGTGGTGGCTCACATCTGTAATCCCAGCACTTTGGGAGGCCGAGGTGGGCAGATCACCTGAGGTCAGGAGTTCGAGACCAGCCTGGCCAACATGGTGAAACCCCATCTCTAATAAAAATACAAAAATTAGCTGGGCGTGGTGGCACACGCCTGTAATCCCAGCTACTCAGGAGGCTGAGGCACAAGAATAGCTTGAACCTGGGTAGTGGAGTTTACTGTGAGCAGAGATTACGCCAGTGCACTCCAGCCTGGGCAACAGAGTGAGACCCTGTCTCAAAAAAAAAAAAAAGGAAAAAGAAAGCCTAAAAGTCATGGCAGATAGGAAGAGGATTCAGAAGAGCCTGACTAACGTTGGGTCAAGGAGAGACTCTGTCATTAGGAGATATGCTCATTCCCTCTTAACCTCCTCACCCTCTTGCTGTGCACCTAATGGGTTTCATGGAGCCTTCTCTTTTGTTCCTGGATTCATTTATTAAGAAAAATTGATTCCATGGCTTTGCTTTGTGAATACTGTTGCAACAAACATATGCATGTGTCTTTGTCATAGAAAGATTTATATTCCTTTTGGTATACACACAGTAATGGGATTGCTGGGTCAAATGGTATTTCTGCCTTTAGGTCTTTGAGGAATCATCACACTGTCTTCCACAGTGGCTGAACTTTTTTTACAATCCCATCAGCAGTGTATAAGCATTCCTTTTTCTCCATAGTCTCACCAGCATCTGTTTTTTTTTGACTTTTTAATAATAGCCATTCTGACCAGTGTGAGATGGTATCTCATTGTGGTTTTGATTTGCATTTCTAAAATGTGGTACGTATATACCATGTGGAATACCATGTAGCCAAAAAAAAGAATGAGACCATTTCCCTTGCAGGGACATGGGTGGAGCTGGAGGCCATTATCCTTAGCAAACTAAAACAGGGACAGAAAACCAAATACCACATTTTCTCACTTATAAGTGAGGGCTAAATGGTGAGAACACATGGACACATACACTGGAGGGGAAAAACAGGCACTGGGGCCTGGCAGAAGGTGGAGGGTGGGAGGAGGGAGAGGCTCAGAAATCATAACTGACACGTACTAGGCTTAATGCCTGGTGATGAAATCATCTGTACAACAAACCCCCATGACCACATTTACCTATGTAACAAACCTGCACATCCTGCACATGTACCCCTGAACTTGTTAAAAAGAAAGAGCGGAATGGATGGGGCTTTTCTCCTGTGATGTGGCAATCTTCGAGATGGCTTTCCCAGCTCTCAGCTGTCCAGGGCAGGCTGCCCCCTAACCAGGTAGATGCACTTTAGCTGCTGATTCCCGGTCTTTGCAATAATGCACAAACACGCAGGGCCCCACAACAGCCTGCCTGTCACCTGTGATGCCCCAGATGCCATCTGCAGAGCTCACCAGTCCTCTGTAATGACACTATCTGCACTTGCCATTTGGTCCCCTGCCCACGAGCCTACGGGTTTCTTTAGACATGAGCTTGCTATAAAATGAAAGGGCAAGCAGTGCTGGTGGTCTTTGTGTGTTGAGGGTTGAACCCTTGTTTGTTCCTCAGCAGAAGAAGAGAGATGCTGTCCATGCTGGCTCCGCCAACTGTAGGCAAGTGTTGCCCAGCAGAGGAGGGGCGAGCCTGAGATGGGCGAGTGCCTCTTTTGCAGAAATGTCATCAGATAACCTGATAAAAGCAAAATTGAATATGTCAGATTTTGATGCCAGAGCTTGAAATATTGCTAAAGCTCCCTTAAAACTGTCACTGCTAATAAAATTTTATAATAGGATACATTTTGTGTATTTGCACACGGGTATGTGCCTTCTGATTTGCTCAGTGGACTTTTTTCCGTGTGTTCCTGAGGAGTGAAGATCAGTGGCTGATTGGCTGCGCCCCTCCTGTAGCTCCACGTAGCATCCAAGCTGCCTCCTCTGAATCCCAGAAGGCTTTAAATTGTTCAAATTAATTTCTGAAATTAGAGGACATTCCTGATTCAAGAAAAATCAAGGGACAGGGATATCTAGAGCTTTGCAGACGAGGGATCTGACTCTCCTGGGGTTCCAAGGACTAAAATAGAGCCCCAAGCATTCCAGAGTCAGTGGGACCCCCGGCTACCTCCTCGAATGGGCCAGAACTTTCCTGGGCTGCGAGGATGCAGTGCTGTGCTCCCTGTCAGGAGCAGAGAGCTCCAGCCCTCACCCTGAACGTCAGGGTGGTTTGAGAGGCCTCACTTGTGCCTACCCAGAGAGTAATTCCCAGTGATTTGCTTATTATTACTAGCCGTGACCCCCGACTTAGTGCAGCCTTATCCCCACGTGCACATTGTATACCTGGAGTGAGCCCATCCCAGCTCCAGGCGCTCCCTCAGCCTTCCTGGTTTCTTGTCTCAGTGTCCGGCTTACCTTCTTCCCTCAGGGGCACCTTTCTCTCCATCTCTTCCCAGTACAATCTTTCTCACTGTGGGAGGCATATCTCCAATGCCACCTCAGTTCCCCTACATCACTTCAGTAGACAAGAGAGCTCTGTTTGTGGCTCTGTCACTTAACAGCGCTTCTTCTCCCCTCTCTGTTTCTTTCTGGGCCTCTTTTTTCCCCCTATTTTGCTTCTGAACCAAAGGCTGCTCCTCCCCCCACCTCGCCCAGTCCCTCCTCCTCTAGAGCAAGCACTGCGGAGACACATTGGCTCCTGGGTGGGGCTTGTGCTTGTCAGGCCCCTTGCAGGGTCGAATGGGACTCCCTGAGCTCTAGTTACAGATCAAAGTGAGTTGCTTCTGCCACTTACCTTGACCTATAACTCGGTCCTTGCTCTTGTCAAGATGACTGGCTGCCCTGGCGCAGGGCGAGCTCAGGGTGAAAGCTGCAAGAGCCGTGTTTGTGCAGAGACCAGCGCTCCCCAGGGCCGCATGCTTGTGTCTCCTCCCTGCAGTATGTGGCACTGGGCCAGCCAGTGCAGTGGGACGGGGACAGTTCCTGCAATGGCGCTGCTAGTGTGGGAGGTGAGAGAGAATATTAGGAAGCATTAAGGATGAGGAAGAGGAAGGTGGCTGGTCTTGTATTTGCGAGACCTGGGCTAACATCCAGGCTGAGGCCTGAACACTTTTAATGTGTTATCTCATTTAAGCCCCATGACAATCCTGCCAGATGGGAATGATGCTAACCCATTTTACAGACTTGGAACCTGAGGCTCGGAAGGCTGAAGTGACCTGCCCAAAGGCATGCAGCCTGCAGTGATGGAGGGGGGACTTGCAGCTAAGTCTGGCTTGACTTCAAAGCTGATTTTAAGGCACACTGCCTCCTGATAAGGAGAGTGCCCCGCTGTTTTATTTATGGGTAACACTGAGTTTTCACAATTGCCCTGGTCTTAGAAGAATCTAAAATAAGGTTTAAAAATTTGGGTCATGAGTTTCTACAAGTTATTTAATTTTCTAGTAAATATTGTAATAATACTTAAACCATAGCATGGTTTTAAGGAGCAGATGAGTCAATGTATGTAAAATGGTGCCCAGTACACAATACAGACACGTCAGCTCTTTTAGCAGTCATGTAACAAAAGCAGCACCATTGCTGAAGGGAATGATTAAGAAACACTTGAGGCAGAGCCCTCCTTCAGCCGCTTTCTGTCCTAGGCAAGGGGGTTAAGGCTAAGGAGACACATGCAGACCTTTTCTTCTCATGACTTGAGGTAGAGTTTCCTGTCCTTCCTATGATTCAGCAGCTCAGAAATGACAGAAAGACCTATTATGCTTGCTTCTTAAATAAGATTATCTGTACTCCTACCTCTGGAAACATTAAAAAAGCTCTCAAAACTATTATTTTCTAGTGCTTTCATACAATGCAAATTACAGATGTTAATTGGAATGCAGTTCTCCTTCTTCAGACTTATTTCCCAAGTGGACAGATTGAAGCTCACCTGGGCTTTTCCAAGCATTTTGTTAAGTCTACCCTCACCCTCAGTCCCTTATTATTCATTATCTATTACCCTGGAACATATAAACATTCGCTGCTGGCTACTATTTCCTTGTAGTTTATTCAACAGTTTGGATTTGATGTATGGGTTGTTTTTTTTTTTTTTAAAGGAAAAAAAACCCAGACACCCAGGAAATTAAGAAGTTTATCAATTGGAGTCCTAGAGCAGCCCAATGCTAAGGCTGTGAATGAGGTTCACAGGACTAAAGACTTAATTAAATGAGTCAAAGTTTGATTTAAATTGTAAATTCTCTGTTGATACCTAATCTCAGTCTCACTGTAAGTGAACTGAATTTTAAAAAACAAACACACTCTGCTTGCGGACAGTAGCCCCATCTAGGGGTAGAGCGTTTCTCTTCTCTCTTTCATTTTTCTAAATTTTCCTCTTCAATGTTTATTCAACCCAGGCCATTAGCAGGAGGAAGGGAAAAATTCCCAGATTTTCAGACAACACCATTTTCCACCAGTTTCTCGGGAAAGCTGAAGGATGCTTAAAGAGAGGTGTGACTGAGCATTGATGAGGGGGGAGGAGGCTACAGGACATTTTCTTCCATCTGGTGTCACAGGCAGAGCGTCCCCTATGCTGAAAAATTAACAGCACCATGCTGCCTCTTTTATTTAGTGCCCATTCCTTAAGACAGAGCGCAGGGGATGCTCTTTATAGTGTGAGCTGCTGGGTGACAGGAGTGTGGGAGCGGAGCGAAAACGAGAGGCATAAAACCCCCTCTTGCAAGGTGAGCCAAATGCAAACTGATGTTTTATCAGCTTCACAGGTGCTGCTGCCCGCATTCATTTGAGACCTTGGCACCTCACACAGCTCCCGTCATTTTACGGCTTGTGCTCGGGAGCAGTGAAGGCCCAAGAACTGGGAAGTGGAGTCCCTCTCCCCGGTTCAGGGGATGCTTTAGTAGAGGAAGGGAGGGAGCTCATGGCCAGGGTGGACGAGGGGCTTCTAGTTTGCACCTGGATATGACATTTTAGCTTCTTCCTGTTTTCTACCTTCCATTTTGATGAACTTACTCTTAGGTTTTTCTCCGTGGAGAAATCCTGGAGAGGCATATGATAATTATGATCGTCTCTGGTTTACACGTAGAAAATCACAGTGTAGAATAATGAGCAGGTTTAACAAGCATCTGTGTATTAAAGAGGACCCTGCTTTATCTCTATCCAAGTTCCCTGAACTCTCATTCACGCTTTGCTTCGTATGAGGTGATAAAATTGAAAATTGATTGCATGTAGGAGGCTGGATTTAATCGAGGCCACTCAGGCTGGAATTTTAACTGAATCATGTACGGCAATTTCCCCCTCATCCAGAGCCAGGGATCTTGGATGGAAGGATGACCAGATGAGGGGACTCCCTGTGACCACTGGCATCGCAGAACCTCTGCATGCTGCTGGGATGAGTAGCCCACATATGGCAGGGCTCTCAGGACCCTGTGTGGAAATTTTAAAAGAGAAAAGAAAGCAAGCGAATACTACTGCATTGAGACCAGAACTACTGAGGCTTGAAAAATGCACAGATTTAGCACCCCCAAAGCTGGCTGTAAAAAGGCCGCACTCCGAGTTAGCTGCTACAAACCAGAGGGCCACCAAGAGCTCTTCAGAAAGGAAGCTATTTAGGGGCCACCCCCTTTTTAAAGAAAAAAGCCTGTCATCTTTCTGGCAAAAAGCCATTGAATATACTGAGAGTCATTTGCTGGCAAGCAACCAAATATGTACCAAAAAATAAATTGGGTATTTAATTTAAGACAACTGAAAATGCGTCTGTGTGGGCAGCTTCAAATCGATATGTGCTGGAGCCACACACCCTTTATGTGAACTGCAATGAACACTTCCACCACCAGTTAGCGTGTTTGCAAACCCTCCAGGCTTAGAGAGACAGGGGTCACCCATGCCCGGGAAAATAAAATTAAAAAGGCTTTTAAAAGTCCACCTTAAGAGCACGTGCTGCCGGCTGATAGAAGAAACAGGATAACTCAGTTGCCTACAAGCAAAGTTTGCACTTGTGCCTGAGCCCCTCCCCAACCCTCCCCATGCGTGGATAAGCCGGTGCCGCCTATCCCCGGCGTGGAAACGCATGGGGCCCAGCTGCAGCATGCGGTGTGGGAAAAGCATTTTGCCGCTGCCAGTGTCTCGGGCCTTACATCACTGTCGTATTAGTCTAAGCAGAATAGAGCAGATTGTTTATTTTGGTTTAGCTCCGCTGCAGGCTGTAACATCAGATGTAACTCCCAGAGTGACAAATTTCAATCACAATGTCACAGATTAAACAAGGGTACGGAAGAGTGGGGTAAGCACGTTTCCCAGGGGGTGTGGAGTGGGGGTTCTGCGTGAATCTGTTTTCCAATTTTCCCTGCCCCAGGAAGCCCCCCTTCCTTCTCACCATACGCTCAAGTCAGTTCCCTTTTGCCCCATGGATTGGTGACAGTCACAGCATCCCATCCTGTGGGTTAAATAAGCCAGGTCTTTAATTTATTTGAAAATACTAAATAAAAATGATTCCCCCTTTTCCTTAGAGCATATTTAACTCCTGTCGTATTTCAGATTTTAAAGAATTTGCTGAGTAGTTTTCAGTATCCTGAAACTCCAGAGGGGAGAAAGAATTAGTGAAATCAGTAAGAGACGGACTTACCCTGGAGAGCGACTTGGCCACAGCGGGCAGAAATGATGCCTAGTGAGTATAGGCCAAGCTCTGCCTGCTGACGGGGGTGCTCCGGGGTGGGGTGGGGTGGAGGTGCTCACAGGCTTATTTGCTACATGTTCAGTCATCACGTAGCTAGGTGGGGTGGCTCATCCCACAGACCTTCTTTAAATCCCAGGCAGGCAATGGTACAACAAGGCAAACTTGCTGTCTCCCAGAATGGTTGCCCTGGCCTGGGAGGGACCCCTCCCATCGCAGCCACCCTGAGAGCCAGGGCGTGTGTAGCATCAGCTTTTCTTGCATTCTCTGAAACCCTCAAACTGTTCTGCCTGTGGATATCATCATCCTCATTTTTCACACATGAACCTCCCTCTACCCAGTGCTTCCAGCAATTTGCAGAATGCAGTGTCTACAATGTAACAATCTGAAGCTTCCAGCCGGCTTGTTCCTAATGAGCGTGTTCCCCAGGTAGAAGAATAATTATAAAGTATCTTACCTCATTGATGGTGTTATTCAAACGGAGCATCAGTTTATTACCATTTCCCAAACAAGTTATGGATAAGAACTGGTAAATAATAACAATGCCTAGTTACCGCAGGCTATTTTGAAACTGTGGAGACCAGGGCTGTGTACTCTAGTCTTTTTCCTGTAAATTAGATATGGTCCATGGGAAGCCTTAGAAGCCTGACCCGTTTAAGAGTGAGAATGTGTGAGGCCTTCTACCTGCAAAGGAAGAAGGAGCTTTTCCCCACTGCCTTTCTGGAGGGGGATTATTTGGCTGTGTAGACCGACTAAGGGAGAAGTGTTTGGATTACTACTTTGCATTTATACAGCAAACCTCTCGGCTCCTAGATCAGTGCATAAAACTGGTCAGTTTTATGATCTGACTGAGTGGATGGAGAAGCTGAGACATGGCCTCTCCTCACTGTGTGCTGGAGACCCTGAATCCCAGCGGCTGCTCTTACACGATGTCTGTGCCGCTGTCTTAGGTTGGGACTTTTGCTCACTGTCTTTTAGTGTTTGATCAATTAAAAAGTCCAGAGTTCCATGTTTTCTAAGTAATTGGTTTCCCATAGATTCTGAGACATAGCTTCCAAAATAAAAAACGAATCATGAGTTCCTTTAAGTTGCTAGGTTTACTGCAAAACTACATGTATAATCTAAATAGTTCTAGGTAAGATCTAGTAGGAAACCGAAAGGCTCCTTCAGGACCCATGGGATAGGAACAGAGCTGGAGTGCTGCTTCCCACATACCCTTTCTCCACCTCTGTGTCCACTGTCGTGGGTGCTAGCCTCGGACACAACAACTTACTTATCCATACAGTGAGGCAGAAGCTGCAGACTCATCTCACTTCTCAATGGTTGCATAACCAAACTCCAACCCCGATCTGCTCACTCCATCCCCACCTGCCCACCCGGACATCCGAGGGGAGTCTGTGGGAGACGGCTGCTGTGAGGGAGAGCTCAGGTATTGTTCGCACCAATGAAGAGAGATAAGGAAGTGTCAAGACTGAGGCAGCCCAGGGAAAAAAAAATGCTAATGGTCCTAGAACAGCATCAGGTTATAGCTAGAGACATTTAGTCAAAACCTTTTCTTTTGCGTTTTTCTAGGCTAGGGATTAGCACTTCATATTATAAGCTACCTAACTTATCTTAAAACAGCTTCATTCCCTTATTAAAATGAGCCTTTCAGAAGACATTAAGCAAGAGGATTAGGAAATCGCTCAGGCCTCCGGGCAAGCACTTCAGTGACGAGAAGTCATTTGGCCACCCGGAGACTGTATCTGGCGGTGCCCCATTCCAGGGATCACGGCTTCTTAGGCTGCCCTGGCTTTATAAGACATTTTCTGTGCTACCAGCTCAATCAGAAAAGGGGGCTCTTAGAGTGGGCACCATCTCTTAGAGCGGGCTCCGTCTCCTTCCTCCCGGTTGTTCCATAGCACACAGTAGACGTTGCATTGTCTACAGTGAACTAATTGTATGTGACCTTGGGCAAGTATGTGTGTCTCATGAGGCTTCCTATTGACTGCAGCCTGGGGATCATAGTAATACCTCTAGGACTGCTCCTCAATCGGCCGGGGATGGGGGGACACTCACTATCACCTCCCACCCTCAGCCAGACATTCGGCAATGGTTGGAGTCATAGTTGGTCGTCCCAAGTAGGAGAAGGCTGCTGGCATCTAGTGGGCAGGAGCGGGGATGCTGCTGGAGACCCTGCAGGGCACAGGCGCCGCCACAAAGCTTTCTCCAGACAGACCGTAGAGAATGGGGAGGGTGAGATGCCCTGCTCCAGGATGGCGCATGTCATTGTGTCACACTGTGTGGCTGTAAGACACCATGGAGGCCTTAGGGATCGGCCTGTATTACAGTTCCGCGGGTATACACTGATATTGATCTTTTTTTTTTTTTTTTTTTTTGAGATGGAATCTCACTCTGTTGCCCAGGCTGGAGTGCAGCGGCATGATCTCACCTCACTGCAACCACCGCCTCCTGGGTTCAAGCGATTCTCCTGCCTCAGCCTCCCGAGTAGCTGAGACTATAGGCACATGCCACCACACCCAGCTATTTTTTGTATTTTTACTAGAGACGAGGTTTCACCATGTTGGCCAGGATGGTCTCGATCTCCTGACCTCAGAATCTGCCCACCTCGGACTCCCAAAGTGCTGAGATTACAGGCGTGAGAGCCACCCCACCCGGCCGATATTGATGTTTACCATCTGAAAAACAACGCTATTATTCTCATGACCATACTTCTATTCAAGAAAGTACTAAGATATTTTCAAAATACGTGGTTCTATGGGTCCCCATAAAGCTATGCTTATTTTGAGTTTTAAAACATCAGGCATCCCTAATATACATTTGCATTTCTCTTGAAGTTGCTCTTTTGCAGAAATGGTTGCTAATTGAAAAGTGTCAAGAGTAAATAATGGGGCACTAATGACTTGAAAAGGAAGAACATGTGAATCTAGTAATGTGTCCAGTTGGTAAATGTATCCAATCCTACATGGGAGAAACTTCCACATGGGGACAGAAACAAGACAGCCAGACAGTTGCTGGATCCTGGAGCGTGGGGGCCTTCCTGAGGGAGTCCCAAGAGGCCCTTGTGGCTCCCCAGTCATTTGGCATGGCCCAAAGTGGCTGCTGCTATTGGAAGCCTTCTCTGCAGGGACTTGGACCAGGAACAGACTTGTGTTGTAGTAGGAAAGGGCTGTGGCAGACCCTCTTCCTTCTGCCTCCTCTCCCTGTTTCCCTCCCTGAACCTCTTATTTTTTCTGGATTCTGAATAGGGTACCAAGCCAGCTGACATTTACCTGCACAATATGATTAAAGGAATCCACCCAGATTACATTTCATTCCCACTTAAATTCCCACTCATGAGACTGGACAGTAAGAGTCCACAAAATGTTAAGAGAGGCAAAGAACATTTCTGCTGCTTCTGCACAGAACCAGTGCTCCCTCGCCAAGTTCACTGTTGATCATCTTGAAATGCATTTCCTTGAAATGCATGGCTAATGTTATGAAAATCGGGAACCTCCACGGAGCCTGGGATTTTTCTGCTGTCAGTTGACTTGTCAAGGTGGTTTTGGAAGCAGAACACAAGACAATGCTGTTTCTTCCCTCTGTCACTTCGTGTTGATTTTGTGCTGGATATGTGAGGAGGAAGCCGATGATCTGTAAGCAGCTGACATGTCACATGTACTTAGAAATACATCTGGACAAATTACAGCTTCACATCCAATCAACATCATTCTTGGGATAGAGGTCAGTTCTTAATACAGGGCTTTTATTTTTATTTCATTGTGTTTTGTTTTGCTAATGCTGTAAGTGGAAACTGCAGACCACCTGTATGTTTCTCCAGTTGTTTGCATCTCTTGGTTAGAAAGTAGTTCCTAATGAGGCTGAGTATGTGAGTTCAATCCCCTTTATGGGCCAGTTAGCTGCTCTTTCTTGGTTCTTACAGGACCATATAACCGTTACTGCAGAGCTGATGTTTCCTGTTGATAAAAAGGGATCTGGATAACAGTGAGATGAACCAGAATGTGGAGCTTGGCCAGCCTGTGTTTTTGATGACCTGGTCCCTTGCTGTGGTTGGGGAGCAGGGTCATAGGAAAGGGAGACTTTTGGCCATCTTCCTCTCCAGGCTGCACCTCTTTCTTCTCCTTGGTATGCTGGATGCCATTAGAAGGAGGTTGCGGACAAAGCAAACAGAATCCCATGCTAAGGAGTTTGTATTTATTCTTCAGTTAAAAAATCATACAAAATCATAAGTAAAAAATCATAAGTATGTGAGGTAATGCATTTGTTAGCTAAATTAGCTTGATGTAGCCGTTTCACAATGGGTATATATATCAAAGCACCATGTTGTATACCATGAATATATACAATTTTTATGTTTCAATTTAAAAAGGAAAATCTAATAAATGTAAAAAATGCCTTGCGCCAAGTAGCAGTGACCCAGTGACACCTTGTTATTAGTAAAACAAAGGCGGGCCGGGTGCGGGGGCTCACGCCTGTTATCCCAGCACTTTGGGAGGCCGAGGCGGGCAGATCACGAGGTCAGGAGATCGAGACCATCCTGGCTAACACGGTGAAACACTGTCTCTACTAAAAACAGAAAAAAATTAGCTCGGCATGGTGGCGGGCACCTGTAGTCCCAGCTCCTCGGGAGGCTGAGGCAGGAGAATGGCGTGAACCCAGGAGGCGGAGCTTGCAGTGAGCCAAGATCGCGCCACCGCACTCCAGCCTGGGCAACAGAGCGAGACTCCATCTCAAAAAAAAAAAACAAAAAACAAAAAAAACAAAGGTAACCCCGACACACTAGGAGACAGGAACACGCAGCAGAGACTCTGGTTCCAGGGCCAGAGGGGCAACCCCAGTCCTTAACTGTGGGGCATGGTTTTGGGCAAATTGATTTTTACCTTGCTGAGCCTTACTGACCTCGCCCTACAAGTGGGACAGTAAGGTGTAACCTGTACAAATTGCTGTGGGAGGTGAATAAGAGAGATGGTAGTAGGGACAAAGGGGCCAGTGTAGCCGAAGCAGGGCACCAACATGAATATGACCCAGCTCCCGGCCAAGCTACGGACTTGGCGAGAGGCAGATCCCTAGCTCTGCAAACTTGTTCACTTGCTACATATGTTATATTCCCATCCTTGGTTCTTGTATTGGCATTTTTTTTTTTTTTTTTTTTGGCATTTAGTGCTAAGTGGCATGAAGGTTAAAGACTTGGGGTCCTCATACACAGGTTCCCGAAGCTCTGGTGCCTTCAGAGCACATGTTCACCAGGCTCTGGGAGTGGAGGAGCTGGGCTGCAGCTTCCCTTTGCTTTCTTTGCTCTCCGGGGCATCCTGCAGGGGCGTCTGTCCACAAAGCTTTCTGCGGAGGCCTTTGCGGGGCCTACCCAGAGGCTGCATCCTGAGAGTGGCTTCCTGAGCGTTAGTATCCACCTGGCAGGGGGCAAGACCACCAGCAGGGCTCTCTAGGCCAAAGAGACCTCAGGAAACCTGTTTCAATTCATGTCAGTCTGACATAACCCGCTTGTCTGATCCTCAGACCGCAGGGAGCACAGAGAGCCTAAAGATCAGTGAAAACCGCCAAAAGCCTAGATTCATCAAAATGTCTCCAAGGGAAAAAACAAAACAAAACTGTCACGAAACACAATGCCACCAGTGCAGTCTACTTGGAAGAAAGCCCTGCAGACCAGACTGTGGTTGGCAAAGGAGCTCATGGGTGCAAAAGCACTTGCACTTTCCAGGGCTTCTTACTATGCTGCTGTTATTGTTTTTTTTGTTTTTGTTTTCGTTTTTGTTTTTGTTGTTTTGAGTCTGGCTCTGTCACCCAGACTGGAGTGCAATCGTGTGATCTTGGCTGACTGCAACCTCCGCCTCTCAGGTTCAAGTGATTTTCCTGCCTCAGCCTCCCAAGTAGCTGGGATTACAGGCACATGCCACTATGCCTGGCTAATTTTTGTATTTTTACTAGAGACAGGTTTCACCATGTTGGCCAGGCTGGTCTTGAACTCCTGACCTCAAGGGATCCACCCACCTTGGCCTCCCAAAGTGCTGGGATTACAGGTGTGAGCCGTCGCAACCGGCTCTTTTTTTTTTTTTTGAGATGGAGTCTCACTTTGTTTTCCAGACTAGAGTGCAATGGCGTGATCTCAGCTCACTGCAACCTCCATCTCCCAGGTTTAAGCAATTCTCCCGCCTCAGCGTCCCAAGTAGCTGGGACTACAGGCAGCTGCCACCAGACCCAACTAATGTTTTTGTTATTGTTGTATTTTTAGTAGAGATGGGGTTTTGTCATTTTGGACAGGCTGGATTCGAACTCCTGACCTCAGGTGATCCGCCCACCTCAGCCTCCCAGAGTGCTGAGAGACAGAGTGCCTGGCCTGTTCTGCATATTCTTTAGTGCCCTCTCTCAACACAGCACAGTGAGAGGCAGCCAGTGAGAAACAGAGGGGCGGGAAGCAGAGCTGACGCCTGTGGGAGGGGCAGGAAAAGCAAACCAGCAGCCCCTTTGGGCAGAAGCACAGTGGCGTGAGGTCGGGGGGCCCACAGGAAGCAGCCAGCACTAGATTGCTCCCAAGGGTCTGCCGTGCTGTTGTGCATCACTGTTTGCCGTGAAGACCCTGAACCACAGAGTCGTATTTGTAATACTCTTGGGAACAGGATGTCACATCAAAGATTCACTCAAATAAGATTAAAAATATTTTGGTGCTTTATGTAGGGTTCATTTTCTGAAAGTGCCAGAAAAACAAGAAATTATTAAGCTAAATAGTTACTGGTAAGGCTTTATTTGGCTTAATTGACTAAATTTTGAATTCTTTGAGGAAAGGAGCAGGGTCTGTTACTTCTGTTATTGCCTACAGTATTTTGCAGGTTACTCACAAGTTGTGTGGTAAATAAGATTTGATTGAAAGGGAATCTTTCTATTTATTCAGATTCTTATTTTCAAAACACAGAGGTCTTTTATTCCTTTATTCCTAAGGTCTTGAGCTGTTCATCACACAGAATAATTATGTATGTAATAAGTGCATGAAAACCAGTATAATTTCAAATTCATGAGCAGAACGGTGGCACTCTAGAAAAGGCAAAGTCAGTTAGTAAACTTGGTTGTGATCAGTAAAGCTGGTAACTAAATAGTCAATAAAACTTGGTAGAAATAGAATTCTGTTGTCTTTTAGTTTCCAAATTTGAGCAAGTGGACTACAATTTAAAAAGTAAAATCAAGGGCCGGGTGTGCTGGCTCACGCTTGTAATCCCAGAACTTTGGGAGGCCAAGGTGGGTGGATCACCTAAGGTCAGGAGTTCAAGAGCAGACTGGCCAACATAGTGAAACCTCATCTCTATTAAAAATACAAAAATTAGCCCGGTGTGGTGGCACACACCTGTAGTCCCAGCTACTCAGGAGGCTGAGGCACAAGAATTGCTTGAACCAGAGGCAGAGGTTTCAGGGAGCCGAGATCACGCCACTGCACTCCAGCCTGGGTGACAGATTGAGACTCTGTCTCAAAAAAAAAAAAAAAAAAGTAAAATCAATTGAGGTGAATACAAGGTAGAGCCCTAATTTCTAGTCTAAAATGATTATATTTTTTAAAAATTCAATGCCACAGTTATATAGATACATGTATCCTCTGAATACCTACCTGCAGTGATAATTTGCTCAGATTCTAAAAACCCATCTTTCAATAGCCTTCTGGTAATTGCAGTAAAACTCAAACCCATTGGGAAATCTCAGTTCCCTAGACTACCTCTGATCTGAGAGGAAAACAACATGTGAAAAAGACAGCATCTTCAGGGTCTTCAGATGAACAGAGCCCCTTCCATAGCTCGTGCTCACTGTGATTAAGTGTGAGTGGGAAGAAATGTGGTGTTGTAAGGACCCCCTTATCTGAGATGTGGAAAGATGTGTTAATTAAAGGAGAACAGTTTGGCCATGAATCCATGTAAGTTAGGCAGACAGAATTTTCCTGGCTCATTTTATATATGTCATAGTCCTCCAAGCTCATTCCCTACCTACAATTAAGCCTCCCCATTGTGAAGAGCAGGTATGAGGTGTACACTTGGACGTGGTGCTGTGTCATCTTATTGAGCTATATTCTTGTCCTGCCAATGCAAATCAAAATTACACACTATGGGATTTAGATTTCCAGAAGAGAGAAGAACATAAGTCTTCCTGTTTGGGAGGCTATTTCGATCATGCATATTTGCCTGACTTTCTCCCCTAAAACTCACTCAGCGTGTCCGTTCCTACATGCCTCTCTGTTGAATTGGTGCTGTCAGAAAGGATACCAAGCAAATGTATTTAATGTCTTTGGGAAAAGAAGTTATGGGTTAAAGCCTCTGCCAGATTCAATCTTTGTTTTGGCATGATTCAAAAATGTGTATTGTGGCCATCTGTCTAGAACTGACTGGGTGGAACAAGGAAGCTTGTCCTGCGTCTGAGATGGGTTGGTCACCTCCTTCCATAGGAGAAAAATGGCAATGGATAAAACACGGGTGCAGACGTCCACAAATAGAACTTTTAGAAACCTTCACTTTTGCATTTGTACATTAATGGGTTTTCTGCAAGGATGAGCAGAAATATACTATTTTTGCTATAGTCATCATATGCCTATGTGTGTATAAATAGATGCATGTATTGTATTTTGTATTTATCAAGCTTAACCCAAAATGGAGCTTATCAAAATAAAGCTCATTTTTATGCTATCATTTTCCAAGCTAATAATTTATTTTTAATTTTCTTTTGTTTTAAAATTTGTCTTAAATATGATTTTTCTACTTTTTACATGAATTTCATTCATTTCTCTAATTCCTTGTATTGAATTTCAGAGCAGTGACCCAAGGTCATCCGTACTGACATGTTTTGGTATGAATCTTCGTGGTAATGATAATAGCTACAGTAATGAGGGCTCCTACCTGCTAGATTGCCAGGCTTTTTAATTTCTGTTAGATGGTTTGCATTTTAGCCAGGGTCCTCTAGAGAGCAGAGCTTGGGGCAAGAGTGAGAGCTGACACTTTCTTTGGAAGGTGGAAGCCCGGGATGGCTAGGGTGAAAAATAGAGGGGAATAAAGGCAAGGAAACATGAGAAGCAACTCGAAGCATTCTTGCCGGCCGCAGCTTCAGGGGCCCTAAAGAGCCACAGTTGGTCCTTAGCAGGTGTGTTTGTATGACACAGAGGACTCTTAGTGAAAATTTGCAAGGAAGAAACCACAACTTGGACCAGCCCTCTGAAGGCAAGGAGAAGGGAAGGAGGCCTTTGTTTACCCAGAATCCTCCTGTCTCCCATTACTATGGATGAAGGTGTGTCCCGGGGGGAGCAGACACCCTCGCATTTCCAGTTCACATCACATTTCCTTGCACTTGCCCAGGAAGCAAAACCCCATGCCCAGAAGATCAAGAGATTTCATTCAAGCTTGGGAGTAGAGCGGAAGCTCCATGCTGAAAAGTCCCTTGAGTGGGGATGAGGGCCGGGTAAACCCAGGACTAACTTGGTTAAAGTTAAATCTCTTGAGAGTTTGACAAGGACACTTCCTGGAAAGGGACATGGCCATGAGCAGCCCAGACCAGAAGGATTTTGGAAATATTGACGAGGCCAAGGGGTCCTGAGGAGGTGCTTAACTAAGCAGAGACAAGTTCAGATTTTGTGGGGATCTTAAATTACACCATTTGGGAGACCTTCTTTAAGAAACAGAATGCAAAAGTATTACTATAATTGATAATAAGAAAATTACAACAGATTATAAATTTTAAAAATTCAGTAGATACCAGGAAAATCATACTTTTAGAAAAATAACATATTTCAATTTTCTTGCTGTGTGATATTCCCTTTAATACTCTTTTTCCTATGATTTTTGGTCATATGCCTCTTGGCATATGACTTTTATTGTATTGCTTTGTATAAAAAGAATAGAAAATAATTTAGTCTTCCAAGCATAGTCGATTACAATTTATTTTTATTATTGATGGTTTTGAAAAGTACCTTTTAGTTTTACAAATTATTGGAAATATGACAACTTTGAGGCTTGTTTTCAAATTTGAGGTAACTTCTAATAATTTTCCATTATTTCTGGTGTGTAAGATTGCAGAGCATTTCAAGTCTTATTGCATAGTGACTGCTTACATATTTGATCAATTGACAAAACTCATCAATGAATATGTCTTCAATATGTCCTTTTGTGTTGGCATATTATGAAATGAATGTTATCTTAGTCAATGTTAGTATATCATGTCAAATCAGGAAAACATTTAAATCTTTTTTTCAATGTGGCCCTATGATTATTTCTCTTAGTTAATTAGCAAATACTTGAATGGCCTGTTCATTGCTACACGCAGTTCATTATTAGTAGATAAATGTAGCAATTTAGTCACTGGAATATAGCACTTGCTTCTGCAGGCATTTTGTTAGGATGTGGCAATTTGTGTACTATTTTCATCTGGAGCCCAGATTTCTTTGGTTTGAGATGTTTCCGATACAGTAAGACATGATCTAGTACATTAGGGTGTATAAATCACGCAACTTCATAACTGCCATATTCACTGTAGTATTTATTTCTACAGGTTTCTGCACTTCAAGTGTGGAAATACCGGTAAATTCTCTCTCAAGTGGTTTCCATTAAAATAAACAAAAAGCGTACATGATTCATTTGTGTTTATGCACAAGGCCTTATCAAGTATATTCTTGGCCAAAATGAACTTCTGTTTGACAAGGTGTTGATGAGAATCGCACCTTGCACTTATGACTTGGCACATCTAATGATTGAAAGAATTATCCACAGACAGGCTTCTGGCTCCCTAAACTTCAAACCTGCTTCCTTTTTCTCCATCCACACGTTTCAGGTGCTGGGTGCCATATCAGAACTCTGATCTTCCCTACTTCGTGGCGTTGGGTGGGTGTGTGGACACAGTCTGTGCGAGGAGGATCCTTGGAAGCCATGCTTACACTGAAACACCTGGGAGTATGTTACTTCAGTGAAGGAATAACTGTAAACTCCATACCACATCTCACTAAATGGCAGACAAACTGCACATATATAGCTCAGCTTCCCAAATACCCATTACCACTCCAAGGCCGCCTGACACAGGGGGATTTCTACCAGAGGCAGTGCTGGAGTGGAAAGGGGCACCTGTCCTAAGCAACAGCTGTGAAAATATCTTCTTAAATTTTGGGGAATACATAGCCATGTGATCACCTTGCTCAGTCCTCACTAGACCTCCTGACAGGCCCAAGCAAGTGAACAGCCCTGAAGCTTCAGCTTCAGCAGTTCGCAGAAAAACCTTCCTCAGTGCACGGGGTTTGCACACCAAGGGAGTGTGCACCTAAATATTTGCATCTGCAGTCATGAAACCTGACTTGCCAAATGTGGCTTTAATGGGTTACCCTAACATTTTAAAAGATGAGATTTTGAGATTATTTTCTCTTAAAGCAAATCTGTAATACCATCCTTTCGGCCAATGAAAGAAGCAAGAAGTTAGGTTTCTGTTTTTCTTTACTGAAAATGAGAAAAATATCTTCTTCTCCTAGGGTAACTTGAATGCCAAATATTTCATACACTTATGGACAGGATTTTAAAGATTCGTTTGTTTGGATTCCTCCTAGTGTCTGCAGTGTACCCAGCCCATCACACCCATAGCCACACCCACGCATTGCCTTTGGGTGAAAGTTGCATATGATAATGAATTATTAAGCTAATTTATGAATAGATGAATGAATGGAATTTATTTCATGATTTGCTGCCGACAGAAGAAATTCTATTTATTTCATAAAGAAGTACATGCCAACAGGAAAAAAAGAAAAACCAGGATGGGCACAGTGGCTCACACCTGCAATCCCAATACTTTGGGGGAACAAGGCAGAGGGATCACTTGAGCCCAGGGGTTTGAGATTAGCCTGGGCAACATAGAAAGACCCCATCTCTAAAAAAAAAAAAAAAAAATTAGCCTGGCATAGTAGCATGTGCTTCTCGTCCCAGCTACTTGGGAAGCTGAGGTGGGAGCATCACTTGAGCCCAAGCGGTCAAGGCTGCAGAGCCACATTCATGTCACTGGACTCCAGCCTGAGTGACAGAGAAAACCCTATCTCAAAAAATAAATAATTAATAAGTAAACCAGTTAAAAAAATTGGCAAGGATATAAGTAAACAAGCCAATTAAAAAATTGGCAAAGGATACAATTAGGTCAAATTGAAGATGATAGAAAATTTATGATAAAAGGGTTTTTAACAAGACAAACATTTAATTCTCACATAAACAATGTCCAGAGGTAAATGGTCAATGACTGGTAAGGTGGCTTCTCAAACATTATCATGATCTGAGACCCCTCTGGTTTGTTACTGTAACATCCAAAACATTTGTCTTTTTTTTTTGACAGCGTTTCACTCTGTTGCCCAGACTAGAATGTAGTGGTGCAACCTCGGCTCACTGCAACCTCTGCCTCCAAGGTTCAAGCAATTCTCCTGCCTCAGCCTCCCGCGTAGCTGGGATTTCAGGCACACACCACCATGCCTGGCTGATTTTTGTATTTTTAGTTGAGACGGGGTTTCGCCATGTTGGCCAGGCTGGTGTTGAACTCCTAACATCAGGTGATCCGCCTGCCTTGGCTTCCTAAAGTGCTGGGATTACAGGCGTGAGCCACCGTGCCCAGCCATATGTGTCTTTTATTCATCGTCCAAGATGCATGCCTCAGCTTCTGCTGTTGCGTCTACATTCCAACAACTAGGAAAGATGTGCACTTTTCCTTTAAAATCACTTTCTGGAAGTCTTATAACAAACCCTTTTCTTCATGTCCCCTTGCCCAGTGTTTAGTCACATGAGTATCCCTAACTTTAAAAGAGACTTGGCAATGTAGTCTTCATCCTGTATGACCGCATGTCCCATTAAATATTGGGGTGTTATTGCTAAGAAAGACTGAGTGAGTGAATATTAGAGAACAGCAAATGGTCTGAGCTCCAGATATAAATAAACCATTATCAATAGAAATGTCAATAGCCAAGCAACTTAAAAAGTGAACTCACTAGTAATTTTAAAGATGCCAGGGGCCAGGCAGGTGGATCATCTGAGGTCAGGAGTTCAAGACCAGCCTGGTCCACATGGTGAAACCCCGTCTCTACTAAAAATACAAAAATCAGCTGAGCATGGTGATGCACATCTGTAGTCCCAGCTACTGGGGAGGCTGAGGCAGGAGAATCACTTCAACCCAGGGCGCAGAAGTTGCAGTGAGCCGAGATTGCACCACTGCACTCCAGCCTGGGTGACAGAATGAGACTGCATCTCAAAAAAAAAAAAAAAAAAAAAAAAAAAAAAAAAAAAAAAAAAAAAAAGAACACCAGTGGAAATATTTTCCAAAAGTGAAGCAGAAAGAAAATACTCAGTCAAGGCTGTAGGGATGTAAGTTCTCTCCTGTACTATTTTGGGGATATAAAGTGGTAGGGATAATTAGGAGGAAAATTTGCCATTGTCTGTGAAAATGAATGTGTGATCACTTTTTCCTGAAAGTTAACACTTCTGGATATGTTTCTTAAAGAGGATAGAAAGAAGTGTACTAAGCTGTTTCATACAACATTATTTGTAATAGTGAAAGTCTGGATTAAAAAAAAAATCCCTTTTATTGGGATGGGTTAAACACATTTTTATATAGCCATAGAATTATAACCAGACATTAATAAGAATGATGATTATGTACGGGCTAGGAAAGATCTCCAAGATGGATCGATATGCACAGGATAATTCTGCCTATATTTTAAAAAGATTTAATTCTGCCTATATTTTTAAAAGATTTATGTTTAAATACATCCTATGCTTCAGACTGATATCAGTGGGTATGTTGGTGGAGGACAAAGAGTGAGTATGTTTGGGGGTTTTTGGTAATTGGGGGATTTTACTTTTTGCTTTATATAATTAGTATTTTTACAAAAATTATTTTCTCTGAAAATATTTTTAATGAAAACATATAATACACATAGTCATTCACTGCTATGAACCATATGGTGGGCTTTTTGTCCATTTTTTAGATGCATAAATGTGTATGTATATCTGTGTCTGTGAATTATTATATTCATAAGATAGTATAGATAGAATCACGCTGTACAGAGAGTTTTTGTATTGATTTTATTACATAGTGTCATATTGGGGGTATTTTCCAAAGGCGTTTATACTTCAAAGGTTTATTTTAATGATTTTCTTCATACGCATACTATGTTACACATAACCACTTCCAATTCTTGAAAATTTAAGTTGTTTGCAATTTAAAAATATATTTATAAACAATTGTTTATATATTTATGCTTATAAATATATACACCTATAAATGAATATATAATTATATAATTTTATTTATGCATAAAATTTTATACTTATAAAAATTGCCATTTATAAAATAAAAATTTTATTCATATATTTTTATAAATATTTGCATATTGTATACTGTATATTATGTAATTATATTTGTAATATTTGTTTATATATTTTATATTTATTTGTAATTTTTTATAAAGTAAATGAATAAAATTTTTATTTTTTAAATTATGAAAAATTACATAGTATATATTATATAAATATTTATAAACATATAAACTTTAACATTATAAATGAAAATATAAATATTTAAAAAATTATTTGTAATAAACATCTTCATACACCATCTTTGCCCATATATTTTATTGTCACAGGAGAGATTATTACTAGGAGTTGCTGTGTTGAAAGTTATAAACTTTTTAAAACTCTTGATATGAATTATATTACCAGTTTGTTTTTCAGAGAGGTTTTGCTAATTTATATTCCCACTAGCAATGTATGAGTGAACCCATTTTGCCAGAGCTAACTACCATTGAATTTTTATTCAATGGTGGTTATTGAATTTTTAGAAAGATTGTAAATTTGATGAGCAAAATGCTCTCTTTCTGGTAAAAAAGTTTAAATTACTATTAATAATGAGGTTAAACAGTTTCAAGCATTTACTGGGATAGGTACGTTTATGTCACTGGCCTATTTTCTGTGGCTTGATAATAGCATGTTTTTACTAAATTGTAAGAGCTCTTTATATACTGAGGATAATAATTTTTTCAGTGTTACTTATTACTAATATTTTTAGGCTTAATTTGGCCAGTTAATTTTATGCTGTTTTGGATATTATGCTTTGAAGTATCTCTTACGAGTTTTGATAAATCATTTTTTATTTGAAAAATATTTTCTAAGCACATGTTAAATATCTGCTGCTATGCTTAGTGATTGGACTTCAGTGGTGGATAAAATAAATTTATCTACTTTTTCTTTGAGATTCGCTTTAAAATGTGATGTGCCTTAATCTCTGAAAGGTAGCCTTTGAATGTAAACCAAATGTGTTTTTAATAGCACTATTGTACTGACATCCTTAGAGTAGAGTGGAATTTCTGTTATTAGAAGCTCTGCATGTATTTTTATAAAATTTATTTAATTTGGGAATTTGATTGGGGGTAATACCTATAGAGATACAAGAAACATTTAGGAGTTTAACATAAATCTTTGTTACTTTTATGCTCATTATTTGCTATTATTTTTATTTTTATTTTTTTGAGACAGAGTCTCACTCTTGTCACCCAGGCTGGAGTGCAGTGCGTGACCTCAGCTCACTGCAACCTCCGCCTCCCAGGTTCAAGCGATTCTCCTGCCTTAGCCTCCCTAGTAGCTGGGATTACAGGCACATGCCACCATGCTTGGCTAATGTTTGTATTTTTAGTAGAGATAGGGTTTCACCATGTTGTCCAGGCTGGCTTGAACTCCTGACTTCTAGCGATCTGCCCACCTTAGCCTCCCAAAGTATTACAGGCATGAGCCCACATGCCTGGCCTGCTATTATTTTTAAAGGGTATCACATCTGTATTCATCTACCTATGTATCCCCTTTATTTTTTATGATATGAGAGGACAGTCAAGGACTCTATGAGAAATGAAATTTCCATTTATCAATACTGTTCATTTGGGCACCTAAGTTCGGAGTATAATGTTTGAATGCAATGTACATTTTCAAGAACATAACCGCAGTGCGTTGAGGGTATTGAAACATTCATGCACTCAGATGCCACTTATTGAATGTCTCCAGGCCTAACCACAGTACATGTTAGATGGATAAGGCCCTCTTCACCTGTCCACTGACTCCGTCTGGCTCCCATGCCCACCTGTATACCTACAGGGCTTGACCTTCCCTATCTTACCCCACATTCAAAGACTTCTCCAGTTCGTAGCTCTATGAAGTGTGTGGAAACAAGTGTGTCAAATTCCCAGGCCCTTGTTGTTGGAGATCTCTTGCCTTCTAGTTTTTTTGAGGGAAAAATTACATCATTGCTACTGTCTTACTGCCTTCTGTGAAAATGGTTTTCCTTGCTATCTAGTAACCTTTCCAAACTTGCTAAATTCTGTTTGAAAGTGACTAGGGGCTGGGCACGGTGGCTCACACCCAGAATCCCAGCACTAGGGAGTCCAACGCAGGAGGATCGCTTTAGTCCAGGTGTTGGTGATCAGCCTGGGCAACATAGCAAGATCCTATCTCTGCAGAAAAATTCAAAACTTAGCCAGGCATGGTGGCATAGGCCTGTAGTCCCAGCTAATTAGGAGGCTGAGGCAGGAGATACTTGGGCATGGGAGGTTGAGGCAGCAGTGAGCTGTGATCGCACCACTGCACTCCAGCCTGGGTGACAGAGTGAGACCCCATCTCTAAAAATTAAAAAAAAAAAAAATTAAAACAAGTGAATCAGATGTCCAGTCTTTCCACTTTGTTTTGAACTTCTTGACCTCAGGATAGTAGGACTGAGTCTCACAAGGACCTGCCCCTCTACCAAAAACTGGTCTTTGAGTTTCCACCTATGTGTCTTTGGTAAATCTGACCTTATCTTTCAGGAGAGCTCAAAGCAGTCACCTCACAGCTGTCCATTTCCCCCTACCCAATCTAATTAGGTTCATCTGCACCTGATAACTCTGTGTTGCTGTGTGCCGTCAGAGTAATAAAATGCATGTCTGTGTTATGATTTGATTAACCTTCATTGGTGCCAATGCTGTTTCTCTGTTTCCATGGCTCCTACGCCAGTAGACTATCCAAGGAATTATTAGTTACCTTATCAGAGCTTCACATCTTCAGGCTCTTCGGGGGTCTCCTTGGAGCAACGGTGGGAAGTGATTATTCTGCCTCCTTATTTGTGTTTTCTGGAAGCTTGGCAGGTCAAGTTCTTTTTGAAAATATTGGGTTGAGGAAATTTAAGATGAGATTTCTTACGCTGTAGGAGTAGCGTTGTCATTCGTGATCATGTGTGATTGTGTTCACAGTTCTTTGTTTTTATTGTAACTTAGTCTATATAAACCAAAACCAAAATGTCGATAAAATTTTCCACATGCAATGACAAGTATTGATACATTTAAGACTTTTCAGTTTTATTAACAAGTTAACTTTTCTTAAAAATAAAGTGGAGGACTGAGCAATATAGGTTTACAATATTTCATTTTACCATGTAAGGATGTTTAAAAACACAGTAACAAAAGTATCTAGTCTCAACATCACTTAATAAAAGGGAATCATTTTAACAGGAAATCTGGGAAATATATAGTTTCAAATAAAGGACTTTCTTCTAATTGGAAAATTTGTCCTTGTCACTAGTTGGTGGTGACAAACATACACTAGGTCTAAATCCCTGGGGACTGGGCATGGGAAACCCACGTGGCCCTGTTTACTCTCCAGTTCTGAGGGGGCTACTTCTTAGCTCTGCAGTGAGGCTCACAATTCACTACCATTTAGAGCCTCTTAAAATCGAGACAGGATTCATGCCCAGAGTTTATCAGAAGTCTGTGAATACACAAAGCACATTGATTTTTCTTCCTATTCTTTTCCTTCAGAAGCTATAGTGATGGGGGCTCCAGGAGTTTTTAATGTGATTCCAGATTAATTCTCTAGCAGTGGACCGGGAAGGTAGAATTGATCAAATTCTAGGACCCAGTCTCCTGGGCAAATCGAAGCACAAATTAGAATAACAAAACAAAAACTTTATGTGTGTGTGAGTACGTGTGCATGTGCGTGTGTGTGTATGAAAGTAATGAAAGCCCAAAGCCAGGACCTCATTTTTTCAGTTCCCTTTTGCAGGGAGAACTTACCTATGGGTACCGTTTTGGAGGACAGGAATCAAGGCATATACTGAACCCTGTTCTCTTTGTGAGTGACCCTGTTGCCATTTGGGACATCTGAAACAGGGCATGCTTTCAAATGCAGCATAGTGACAATCCTTTTACACGTTGCTCAATAGCAAAATTGGGGTTAAGAAAGTGACTGCGCATGAACAATTTTTTTTTTTTTTTGAGATGGAGTCTCACTCTGTCACCCAAGCTGGAGTGCAGTGGCGTGATCTCGGCTCACTGCAACCTCCAACTCCTGGGGTGTGAACACATTCTTCTTGTGGCCTCCCTCCAGCTGCATTGTGAGAAGACAGCCACATATGAAAATCTTTGGTTAAACAAGCCACTGTATTCTTAAACCTTTTTTCTGTGCATGAAATTTTTCACTGAGGTATAAGTGGTGTGTGATAAAACACACATATTGAAAGTGTGCAATTCAATTAGTCATGATACATGTATACACCGGTAAGACCACTATCACAGTCAGTGAACCCATCACCCCCACAATTGCCTCAGGTTTCTTTGGATTCTCTCCCTCCCACCCCACTCTGCCTCCCCTTCTCATCTCCTGGAGACCACTGATCTGTTCTCTGTCCCCATAGATTAGTTACCATTTTTTAGAGGTTTTGGAAGTGGAGTTACCCAGTGTGTGTTTCTTTCTGCTTGTCTTCTTTCACACAGCATCATTATTTTAAGACTCACGCATGCTGCTGCATATGTCCCAGCTCCCTCCTCGTTGGTACTGAGCAGCCTGCCGCCACATGGACTGCAGGGATCCACCAGTTTATTCACTCATCAGTTGAGGAACATTTGGGTGGCTTCCTGTTTGGGGCTATTTCAAACAGAGCTGCCAGGAGCATTTGTGTACAAGTTTTTGCATGCACACGGGTTTTCTCTGCATTGGTTAGAAATTCTGGAGAAGAATGGCTGGATCTCCTGTTAGATACATGTTCACCTTTTTAAGAAATTGCCAAACTATTTTTCCATAGTGAGTGTACGTGTGCATACCATTTTCCAAAGCGCAGGTTTACACCAGCAGCCAGACGCTTCAGGTGAACCCGTCGTACAGTTTTCTAGTCTTCTCTGTGCAGCTCTCTCTGCTCAGTTCTGTTAACTCCAGCTGCCCCGTCTTCCCCCTACACACAGACCTGTGGGTTCAATTCCGCAAGTCTGCTGAGCTCCCGCTGGGGTCTCCCTCCCTGAACCAGGGCCTGGCCACTCTCTGAAGGCAGGAGGCTGGAGTGATTGCAGGACTCAGCACGCTTGCTTCCTGTCTCTCACGGACCTTTGTCCCACATTGTCTCATGTCACTGTCTTGAAAACCATTGTTTCATATATTTTGTGGAATTATTAGGTTGCTTCAGGGAGGGAGATAAATTCAGTGCTTGTTATTCCATTGTAGCCAGAAGTGAAAGTCTGATAAGGCACTTTTGAAAGTTGACCAAGTTGGATATTAGGATCTGCGTTAACCACCAGGAACAAAAAGTCCCCTGCTAAGTAACCTATAATCAGCCCACAAAAGAATGGTAACTTTTCTTTGTATAGGTGAACACTTTGGATGGTTGAACTTTGTATACCTGAATGTTTTTAGATAAGTTATAGTTCTTTGAATTCAAAGTACAATACCTCTAGTTGTATAAAGCTAGGTGAAAAGTGTATAGCATTATTCATTTTATACATATGAAAATTGAGTCCAAGAAGTAAGTGCGAGTGTCCTAGAATCATATGAAGTAACGGCTGCCACTTGCAGTTGTGTAGGTTGTATACTGCACAGGCATACCTGGCTGCAGCAATGAATTGGGGATGAAATGCGGCTTATGGTCTGTTCCCTAGACTTAGTTCCCTGGTATGTGGTTGCACACACCTAGAGAGAGTTTTTCTCATTGTCATAAAAGTACCTCAAAGACCCATAAATTCAGAGAAGAAACTGTGTGATATGATTTGGTTGTGTCTCCACCCAATCTCATCTTGAGCTCCCATAATTCCCATGTGTCATGGGAGGGACCCTGTGGGAGGTAATTGAATCATGGGGGCGGGTCTTTCCCATGCTGCTCTCCTGATAATGAATAAGTTTCATGAGACCTGATAGTTCTATGAAAGGCAGTTCCCGGCTGGGCGCGGTTACTCATGCCTGTAATCCTAGCACTTTGGGAGGCTGAGGTGGGCAGATCACCTGAGGTCGGGAGTTCGAGACCAGCCTGACCAACATGGAGAAACCCTGTCTCTACTAAAAATACAAAATTAGCTGGGCGTGGTGGCACATGCCTGTAATCTCAGCTACTTGGGAGGCTGAGGCAGGAGAATTGCTTGAACCCGGGAGGCGGAGGTTGCGGTGAGCCAAGATTGGGCCATTGCACTCCAGCCTGGGCAACAAGAGTGAAACTCCATCTCAAAAAAAAGAAAAAAAGGCAGTTCCCCTGCACACACTCTCTTACCTGCCACCATGTAAGACATGCTTTTGCTCCTCTTTCGCCTTCTGCTATAATTGTGAGGCCTCCTTAGCCATGTGAAACTGTGAGTCTTTATTAGCAACATGAGAATGGACGAATACACTGTGTCTCTTTAGAAACCTCTTTGGTCACAGCACATTTGACTTCCAAGAGTTATGCTTCAGGTGGCACCGTTATGTCAGTCTGGACATTTTTGTGTATTCTTTGTCACTATGAAGAATATTTTAACAGGAATGGAAACAGCACAATATTAATTCACTCACAGCACAATGCTTGAATAAGAGTAGAAAGCAGTGTAGCCAGTGTTGCTCACTACAACTAGAGACTGGCAGTTTGTGCTCCTTGGATGTTTGCTCCTGGAGAGGAAAAAACGTCGCATCACCAAAGATGCTACCTTCTGTCAGCAAGGCCCTGAGCATAAGATAAAAGGATCCTCTTTTATTTGGATATATTTGCCCCACCTCTGTCCATTTTACCTGTTTTAGACCCTTTGAATTGGGGTCTGAGTATGAAACAGAATCAATCCAAATAATTCTAGATGCTTTAATGACAAAGATGAATTTGCAGAGATGTGGGCAGTGGTAGTGAGGAACCCAGAAACTGCCAGCTCCATCAGCACCCCAGTCTTTCAGAAGTAAGTGGCCTGCTTAGTGCTGCCGCAGCTCCAGGAGGCATGGAGGAGAGGAAGAGGATGGCCAAGAGGATCTGTAGCAGGGAAGGATGAAGCCACTGTCAGAAAATGTGACCCAGAGCTGGGTGGCAGCTGGCAGCCAGAGATCAGGGGAGCCTTGTGGGTACAGCCCCAAGGGCCCAACTTTCTGGGATGCAGAGCAAGCCTGGCAGGGCAGAGAGTCGTCATGGTGATGCGGCATGGGCATAGGGGGTGGGGGCAGAGAGAAAATGTGCACTGTAGGCTTCCCGGTTATTTTCTCTGTGGATGGATGAATTTACCTTACTGATTATGGAAGGCCAGACAGGTCTTTTCCTTTTCCTTGGATAAGAAGTTAGAAGAGAAGGAGAAGGAAACTCAGCTACCCCGAGTCCCACCCATGTGGCAGGCATCAGCCAGAAGCTGTCCACAGATACTGCACCGCCTCGCCGCAGCCCGGTGAGGCTGGGGACATCCCCTCCTGTGGTGGGTGAGGCGCCTGAGACTGGAGGTTGGGCAAAGGGGGACTCACATGCTCAGGTGCGCACCTGGGATGCTGAACCAGGATGATGAGAAGTTCATATCCTTTCCACTGCACTTCCTCCCACAAGCTAAGCCTCTCCTTTAGGAAATCCAACTGTCTTCCTGTCAGTTAAAACAGAATCCATCCAAGGAGGTTAAGCATCTGGTCTTCCTGCTACGAGTCTCTCACCTGCTTCAGTCCAACTTCCATGTCTGATTTATCTTTTGAATAAACAAGCCTCACTTTGTTACTTCCTGCCTGAAAACTTCTGGTTCCATGTCCTATTCAGGTTTTATTCTAATTCTTTCATCACTTTTGACTATCATAAATAATGCTGCTGTGACCATTTGTGTAAACGCCTTTGTGTATACATGTTTTCACTCCTCTTGGGAGCAGACTTTGTGGAATTGCCAAACTCTGTGGTAGCATATATTCAATTTTTAAAGAAACTTTACAGTTTTAAAGAAACTGCCAAACTATTTTTAAAACATTTTAAAGTATCTCCACAATAATATTTAAGGGCTTTAGTTTCTCTATATCCTTGCCAACACTTGGTATTGTCAGTCTTTTTAATTTTGGATATTTTAGTAGGTGCATGATAATATCTTACATTGTTTTAATTTGCATTTCCCTGTTGTGTAATGATCTGCACCATCTTTTCATGTGCACATTTGACATTCTGCTATCTTCTTTACTGTGGCATCTATTCAAATTTTTCTCCATTTTTAATTGGGTTGTTGGTTGCTTGGTTGTTTTCTTAATACTAAACTGTAAGTTTTTTTATGTATACTCTCAACATAGGTCCTTTCTCAGACAGATGATTTGTATGTATTTTCTGCCAGTCTGAAGGTTGCCTTTTCATCTTTATGGTGACTTTCAAAGTTTTTTTTCCCCCTTTTGGACACAGGCTTTTGCTCTGTTGCCCAAGCTGGAGTACAGTGCCGTAATCTGCAGCCTCAAACTTCTGGCCTAAAGGGACTCCCACCCCCTGCCTTAGCCTCCTGAGTATCTGGGACTACAGGCAAACACCACCACACCTGAGTAATTATTTTTATTTTTATTCTTTTAGAGACAGGGTCTCCCTGTGTTGCCCAGGCTGGCCTCAATCTCCTGGGATCAAGCAGTCCTCCCGTCTCAGCTTCCCAAAGCACTGGGATTGTAGGTGTGAACTACCATGCCTGGCTTCAACAACATTTTAATTTTAATTTTGATGAAGTCCAATATATTGATTTTTTGCTTTTACTGTTCATTTTTTGGTTTATCTTATCTAGAAATTGTTGTCTTGCTCAAGGTTACAAAGAAAATGTCTGTTATATTTTTCCTTCTAGATTTTTTTTTAATTTTTATTTATTTATTTATTTATTTTTGAGACAGAGTCTTGCTCTGTCACCCAGGCTGGAGTGCAAAGACACGATCTCAACTCACTGCAACCTCCACCTCCCAGGTTCAAGCGATACCCCTGCCTCAGCCTCCTGAGTAGCGGGACTACAGGTGCATGCCACCACACCCGGCTAATTTTTGTATTTTTAGTAGAGATGGAGTTTCACTATGTTGGCCAGGCTGGTCTTGAACTCCTGACCTCAGGTGATCCACCCGCCTCGGCCTCCCAAAGTGCTGGGATTACAGGTGTGAGCCACCGTGCCCGGCCCCTTCTAGAAGATTTAAAGTAATAGCTCTTTCATTTAGATCCTTGGTCAATTTCTTGTTAATCTTTGTGTTTGGTGTGATGTAAGGGACAATGGTTATGTTACTGTTGCTATCGTGCATATGTTTCTCCTCTTGTCCAAGCCCCGTATATTGAAATGACCAGCCCTCTCCCGTTGAGCTACCTTGGCTCCTCTGTTAGACTCACTCTTCTGTTCTGTTGATCTATTTATCCATCCTGATGCCAGTACCACACTGGCTTGATTTCTGTAACTGTATATGATGATGTCTAAAACTGTCTTTCATTTTGCCAGGTGAACTAGAAAATTAAACAATTTTTTTTTTGAGAAACTAAAGGACAATTACTGCTTGGAATCATTAGTAAAACCCAGAAAACTTTCTTTCTGACAATTGATTGGCCTAGTTTATTGGCTTGTGTGCTGCATTATAGCAAGTCCTGAAATCAGGAAGTTTAAGGCCTGAGATTTTGTTTCATTTTTCAGAATTGCTTTGGCTAATACAGATCATTATATTTCCATATAAATTTTAGAGTTAGTTTGTCTAGTTCTTTAAAAACTTTGATGATATTTCAAAAGGGATTATTTCGAATCTACAGATCATTTTGAGAATTACTATTTTACCAGATAGTCTTCCCTCTGCTTGGAGTACCCTTTCTTCCTCTTCCCCATCAGACGAACCCCTGCCCATCCTTAAAGATATAGCTCAAAAGACTTTCCTCCTCTGGGAAGCCTTCCTCAAGTTCCCCAGGTAAAGCTAGACACCACCTTGGCTGTATTTATGTCTCTGCTATAGCATACATCGTGTTGAATTTGAATTAGAATCCTAAGGATAATGACTGTATTTTATTTTTTGATTTTTCCAATGCCTAGTATAAGGTATATGCCATATGCTTAATAATTACTTGTCTAATAAGAAGTAAATACATGAATGTTGCAAATAATCATTTTTAGCATAGGTATTTTCATTTGAATGACTGTTACATAAGTAGTCACTCCTACAGTTAGCAGCCATGTCTTGATCCAAGGGAATGTCAGCTTCCCAACCAAGGTATGATGCTTTCTGTTTCAGAAAAAAAGCTTTTGTATATGGGTATAAAATGATGAAACGTTAGACGTTGTCTAGGACCTCCTCTTATCTCTAAATTTTAAGGAGGTCACACAGTAATTTATTATCAGTCTAGAATTCCAGTCTGTCATAATCCATTCAAGAGTTTTCTTAGACAAAACTAAAATATACATGTATATTAGTTTGCTCAGGCTGCCTACTACAGACCAGGTGGCTTAAATAACAGAAATGTATTTCCTCACAGACCAGAAGCCCAAGATCAAGGTGTTGAAAAGGTTGGTTTCTTCTGAGGCCTCTCTTCCTCGCTTGCAGATGGCTGTCTTCTCCCTGTATCTCCAGATGGGCTTCCCTCTGTACATATCTGTGTCATAGTCTCTGCTTCTTGTAAGGACTCCAGTCATGTTGAATTAAGTTCCACATATCTGACCTCATTTAACCTTAATTAACTCTTTGAAGGCCCCATCTCCAACTATAATCACATTCTGAGGCACTAGGGGTTAGGACTTCAATGCACGAATTTTAAGGGGGCACAGCTCAACCTGTAATACTATGTATGTATGAGTATGAATACTCATTATAAAGTTTGTTATATTTTATTAAACACATTTTTAAAAGTTTATTATTAAAAACACGTCCTAAGGGATTGAAAGAATTCCACATTGCTTTAGAGCAGAAACAGGCACACTTGTTTAGATTAGCTACTTAATAATTTGAAGCCAGTTTAACAGAAATGTAGAGTCTCAGGTGGTATCCTTCATCCACCTACATTCTTACATTCTGTTGATGATGTGGGACTTGTCTCTTGTAGTTTTTCAGTGTGAAGGGTGCCCTAAGTGCATTTGTCAAGGAAAAATTTATTATCAGTATAGGAAATTAAAATTTTATCACCAAAATGGAATGATTTATATTTTTAGTTTTCAAAAATTGATGAGTGAATAAGGTGACTTACATGTTAAATAATGTTAAATCCAAAAAATAGATATTTCCCTTAAGAAAAAAGTTCGCTACGCAGGACAATAAGCTATTAAGCAACTGGGATATTTGCTATTTTTTTTGTCGCTTTATTTCTAGAGCCCACACAGAACCAATAATTCCAAAATGCATATACCTTGACCCAGTTTCTCCCTAACATTTTTTTCTTAACATTGTTATCTAAACCCTTGACATTGTACTTCAGATTCATTGTCACCATAAATGCAAGTCCAGAATCCACCTCCTCACCTTCTCGTATGATCAAGTACCCAGCCCCAAGTGGTAATTCCTCAGGACTCGGGATTTCTGAGTCATCCCCCTTCCCCCCCTGCCTTTGAGGACTGTTGATGTGTGGGTAAGGGGTACACCCAATATGGTATTTATAACTAAAAAATATTTTCTATCTGTGTCATCCTTTCAACTTTAAAGTTAAATGAATATGATCTGACCGGGCTCTGTGGCTTATGCCTATAATCCCAGTACTTTGGGAGGCTGAGGTGGGCGGACTGCCTGAGCCCAGGAGTTTGAGATCAGCCTTGGCAACAAGTAGAAACCCCATCTCTACAAAATATACAAAAATTACCCAGGCATTGTGGTGCATGCCTGTGGTCCCAACTACTCAGGAGGCTGAAGTGGGAGGATCGATTGAGCTCAGGAGTTTGAGGCTACAGCGAACTGTGATCGCACCACCGCGCTCCAGCCTCAGCAACAGAGTGAGACCCTGTCTGAAAAACAAAACAAAACAAAACAGAACAAAATACCAGAATATGACTTTTATCGCAGTCTTGATAATGGAGTAAACTAAGTTTAATTACTTTTCATTTGTCATATGACTATGGCACCTTTTTGAAGTCCTCCCACCAAGATAAGGAGCATGGTTTGAAAATTGGAGAGTGTATTTTGTTGTTTCTTAGACTCATCTCTCAATACAATTAAAAATGCAGTTTAATCTCTTTTTAAGTTTTCATTTGAAAATTTCAAATTTATAGATAATACAAAAATAATATTAAGAACACCCTTTATAACATCTGTCACAGTTGAGCTATTGTTCATATTTCACCCTATTTGCTATATCTCCTTTTCTGTGTCTTTCAACACACACACGTTATTCATTACAATTTTCTGTACTATTTAAGAGAAATTTGCAGATATGATGGTCTTTTACTAATAAATACTTTAGTGTTCAGTTAAGCAACTTATATTCTCTTACATTAAGACAGTACAGTTATTCAAGTCAATTTAACATTGATACAGTGCTTTTATCTAAGTTACCAGCTGTTTTCCAATTTTGTCAGCTGACCCAATGATGTCCTTTGCAGAATAAAAATAATATTTTAAATTGAAAATTTAAATATTATTAGAAGATTGAGTAGTCTTAGAAGATTATTATGTGTTAAATAATGAAAATATGAGGGGTCTGTGATGAAAATATTAATAATCTTCCTGTCTTCATCATTTATACTAGTCCTGCCTGAGCTATGCAATGGTAAAAGTTAGGGGTACCTTATTCTGTATCTTAGAAATGAATAGATTAAGTCAATTACTCTGGAAAATTCAAGATCGCACAATACAGGAACTCAGACAGAAAATGTAAATGACATATCACTTCAGCACAATTAATTAAAAACTAAGCCAACATTATTTGTTTGTGGAGGGTGTGTGTACCTGTGGGTTGAATTGTGTTCCCAGAAAAAGATGTTGGGCCCTAATCTCTGGTACCTGTGAGTGGCAGTTTATTTGGAAATGGAGTCCTTGCAGATGTTATGAAGATCTAAGTTAAGATGAGGTTTTACTGGAGTAGGGTAGGGCCTTAATCAAATCTAACTGGTGTCCTTATAGGACGAGAGACAAGGGGAGGAGAGGGAAGACGTACAGAGGCAGTGTGATGTGAGGAGACACAGGGGAACTGCCCCTGGGGGACAGAGGCAGAGACTGGAGGGAGGCATCTCCAAGACAAGGAATGTGAAAGATTGCTGGCAACACCAGAAGCCAGGAAGAGGCAAGAAAGGCTCCTCTCCCAGGTTTCAGACGAAGCGTGGCCTTTGGTTTTTGACTTTCTACCTCCAGAGCTGTGAGAGAATCAATTTGTGTTTTTTTAGTTGCCTGGTTTGTGGTACTTTGTCATGGCAGCCCTAGCAATCTATGTGTATATGTATGTGTATATGTGTCTGTTTATGTGTGTATGCACCTGTGTGTGTCCATGTAGCTCTGTGCGTGTATGCATGTGTTTGTGTATATGCATGTGTATGTGTGCGTGTATCTTTGTGTATATATATGTTTGCATGCGTGTATCTGTGTATAAGCATGTTTATGTGTGTATGTGTGTGTATTCGTGTGTGTGTGCACACGTGTGACTGTTGCCTCCACCTCTCTTTACTGAAATCTCCGTATGGTTTAGTAACTGAAGGATTTATAGCAACAGAATATTGCTCGTTCTCATATCCTCAATGTAACACTTGGCTAATTAAACATAAACCTAACAAAATTGTACTGAGAAAAACATGAAATCATTTTTAGTACCTTTAGACTATTTTTAAAGTTTAACACTTACAGCGCAAATCAAAGGAATGAAGACAACCTTTTTGGAAATCGGTAACTACCATCCTCATTAGGTTCAGATGGAGCTTACAGTGGGAGTTAGGTGGGTTTTTATGCAGGTGGTGTTCGGATGATTTCTCACTATTTGCGAAAAATTTCACATGTTCTCAATTGATCCTGCGTGACTCTCTTTACAGCTTAATATCAAACATTTCTCCAACTCGATTATGGCCTCTTGAAGAAGGGTCTGTGTTTTCTATTTCTAAACAAAATTCCCCCAGATCCCCAATGCACATTCAAATACCAGATGGATGTTCAATAAAGGCTAAATTGACATTTAGGCAACAGCTTAGTGATGAATCTTGTCTTGCATCCTGCATTGGAGTGTTCCGTCCTACAGAATAAGAGCTGGGTGGAGGTGGAGAGCCTGCTCGCTCCTCCAGAATCAGAGCTCGGTGGAGAGCTGCCTCCTTCTCCAGCCTCCTCGAGGGATGACCTGGTGAGGTGCTTCATAGCCACATAGGGTCTGAACTCTCTCTTGTTGAAGAAACAAGAGAGACTGGGCAAGTCTGGCTTGTAAGTCTGACTGGGGAAGTTTTGCTGCTAAGGAGGGAACCTGTCCATGCAGAGTTCAGTATGAGTTGGGAAAGGAGAAATGATGCGGGTGCTTTCGAGTCCAAACATCATGCGCTGCCTCTGTCCTGTGTTCGGGAAGCCACAACCGTGAGTGCTGTTCCTGTGTGCGATATCAGGGCCCGTCAGTTCCAGGAGCGGTGGCCTCTGTGGGACCCTCTGCTGCAGATGGGCAGGCTGCTTCACTACTTTGGTGTCTAGCTGTCGCTGGTCATGTGTGAGCAACTGTGTTGTGGGGCAGGTTGGTAATGACATGGCTGCTTGGACGACCAATCACGTTGATCATCAGAGGCCTTGATTTTGAAGTGGACAGAAAATGAATCTCCAATATTTACGATGGAATTTCTTTTTTGATTTTGCTTCTGGGCACCAGTTCATCCCAGAAGGCCTATGCCAGGGAGTAGGCTGCTCTGTGGGGAAGAACTCGTCGACCCTAATGAGGAGCAGGACTTTCTCTTGGCTAAGCTTGCTAAGCAGAGCTGCTGACAGGCAGAAGCAGCACAGGTGTACGTGGACTTGCTGCATTTAGAGTGTTCCAGGCCAGGTGGACCCATGGGGCAAATAGGAGGGACAGCATCTATTCAAGGTGGAGCTGAGATGGATACCATCACCACTCCCCTCCACCCCCAACCACCCCGGCTCTCCATCAACAGCTGTTTCTCCTGCAATAAAGATCCTTCAGACACATCAAATGATAATTCTCCTGTGTTCTAGAAAACAGAATCCTTGCCTCATTGTAAAGCAAATGAAGTCAGAAGAGTGTGCAAACCAATGCACACAGAGGAGCCGGGGGTAGTGATGGCCATCGGAGGGCCTGCGCTGGAGCCCTGGAAGAGACTCACTAGAGCAACAGGAAATAGTAAAGACAGGATCTGGTCATCAGAAGATGAAAGCACAAACAGGGAGCTCTATGTGTACATGTGTGTGTACATGCATGTGTGTGTGTGTGTGTGTGTGTGTGTGCATGTGTGTACTCAGGAAGGCCACAGAAGGAGGGCTCCCTAGCGGGACCTCGATGGCATCCTCAGATGCTTATCCAGAAGAACGCTTCCAGATGTGATGAGGGTATAAGGTCTGTGAGGATGGATATTGGAAAAGGCACTGCTTCTGTGACACGATATGGAAATAAGCATCGAGTAAACATGAAGAACGAAGAACAGGCAGTTTCAAGTTGAGGCGACAGAGGGGATTTATTGACTTGGGGAAGATGATTTTTAACATACCAGCTGTGAATTGAGACACATTGTTTCTACAGTAGCCCAGGCAGAAAATTCATGACTGTATTCAGAAGCCTCCCACTGTTAAATTTCTTCAATTTGCATTCTTTTGTAGTGGGAGGCAAAGTGGAAATGTGGTTTAGTGGCCATACGATAACCTAGATTCTCATGACTTGTATGTTGAAACTCATAGTCTGAATGATGCCAAACCACTCTGTCACCTTTGGCAAGTTATTTAGTCTCAGTTAATAGTCCAACTTTCTTATCTATAAAAGTATTAATAGAAATTCAAGAAGACCTATTTACATATGTGGAAAATGTCAGGCTTAGAAAGTTGAGTACTGGATTAGGCCCTTCTGCCATAGCACTGCTCATAGACAGCAATAGATTGGGAAAATAGAATCTAGAATTTGTTTCCAAGTGCTGGAAGATGTTTGAAACTTTTTCAGTGTTTTGTGGTTATTATTGTTGCAGAACTCTAAAACGCATTGTTGGGACAATGTGTAGATGCAACAGAGTTTGCCAATTAATATATAGCTAAGTGTTATTAAAATAGATATATGATTTATTTTCTATGAATTGTCAACCTTGTCTCCAAATCTCTTCAATACACCAGAGTTTACTTCAATCCTTCCAAGTTACCTTCTCCTTCTCCTTATGGGTCCAACCTCACCAGTGGAGGGGAGGGAAGGGGATGGAGAGGGAGTTCAGAGGCAGATGGCAGAGGCAGATTTCAGATGTCCTTGCAGGATCCAGAGCTGAAGGCCACCAGCCTTGCCTTCCTCCTACATCGAGGCACGTTGGTGGAGCTGCCCCAAAGATTCTGTTCTGAAACCTAAAAACAGCTGGCAGCATCTGAGCACCTGCCTATCAGTGTCCACACTGCTCATCACCAGAGCCTCATAGATCAAGTTCTGCTGCTGCATCACCCCAAGTTCATTCAGGCCCCATTGTCCTCTCTCCTCTTGGGTGTCGAGCCTGCATTCAGGTGGCTCAGTGTCCTGGGAGATGGGTGGATACTCTGCGCTCTTCATTATTCGTGATTGTTAGGGAACCCTTGTGCTGCTCAGCCAATAATGACCTTCATTGACATTGAAACCTGTCCCTGAGGCGTCCGTGCACTTGCTATGTGTTACCGTCAGTGTTCTCCTGCTGTGGCAGCTGCAGGTCACCTGGAGGCTGTGCCACCCCCCATGTGTCTGATGGCAGCAGGCCCACTTCTGACCTCTACACATCGGCAACACCGCCTCCTTCTTTGGTTCCATCTTCTTTCATTCCTTTTAGCGAAATAGTACCTGACAAACTCCTGCTTCTCACTTTGGTGGGGGTTCGGACTTGAGGTCTTTGCTTCCTTTATGAAATGCATCTGTGTCGCAGACCCGCCACATGCCAGGAACTTAGGAGGCAGCAGTGCGGAAAAGCTCTCGGCCCTAATGCAGCTTCCCTTCTTGTGATAAGAGACAGACAATAGGTCACACATCTAATAAATCGGTAACTGTACAGAAGGTCACTGGTCAGCTATGGCTGAGTACTAAGAAACCGGGCAGCTCACTGGCCCCTGACACTACGTCCAGCCTTCTCACACCTCTCGGCTCCACCCGAGTTGAGCTGGGGCTGGGCTGAGCTTGGCCCTGCTTCGGGCAGTGAATGTGGATGTTTCCAGTCTGCTCAATGAGTCCATCATCCTTAAGCCAGTGGCTACCCAAGGACAGTTCTTCTCGTGGTGAAAGGCAGGAATTCAGAAGGGCAGGCCTCACCAAACAAGCACATGCCACGTACTGGATTATGTCACATACACTACTATCCTATTGGCAAAGGAAGCTGCAGGGGAGGCAAAGCTTTTCTTCTACCCAGAGTCCCAACTGGGCCTGAGAATGAAATAGACAGGAAACAGATGAACAGGAGGAAAGCATGCAAGTTTAATAAAAGCGTTATGTGACACAGGAGCCCTCATTAGGAAATGAAGACCCAAAGAAGTGGCAAAACCAGCATTCTTTTGTGTTGGGTTGAACCAGCAGAGGCAATTGTGGAAAAGTAACTCAAGTGTTTGGAGGCTAAGGGAAGATAAGGCATACATACCCTAATGAGGGCTGTTTGTGCAGAATTCACTCTGCTATAAGTCCCAATTGAAGAGTGGTTTTTCTCCTCATGCAAGGAGGGTGTCTTTCACATGGGAGTTTTCATCTCCTGTTTCCAGGTATAAAAGGGGAGATCAGAACACCCTTCTCACATCACCTGTTTTTTTCAAGGGCCTTTAGCTTTAAGTAATTATATGGCCAAAATGGCATATTTTGGGGTGACATATTCAGCCACCCTACAAAGCCACGTGGCTCAGCTCACCATCAACTGGATGGGGAAATATATGCAGCTTCTAACTGAGGAAAGACAAAGTCAGGTCAATGGCTGGGGAACAGGGAGGGTTGAGGCATTGCGAGTAAGAAGGCAAATCTACTATAGGAAGTGATTGATGTTATGGAGACAAAGACTAAAACAGGCCATGGGAATTGGGAATGTGGGAATGTAGGGTGGGGTCACCACCGTTTTACATGAGCAGGTGGTGGTTAGAGGGGCTCGTTGCAAAGGAGACATTGGAAGAGCTGCAGGAGGGCAGGGTGTGAGCCACGTGACCATTGGGGAAGCACGCTCGCACAGGAGGAGCCGGAGAAAGGCTGGGAGCCAGGTGTGTGTGGGGCATGTGTGGGTCATATGTGGGGTGTGTGGGGGGCGTGTGTGGGTCATATGTGGGGTGTGTGTGTGGGGCGTGTGTGGGTCATGTGGGGCTTGTGTGGGGTGTGTGTGTGTCATATGTGGGGCCTGTGTGGGGAGGGTCACAGAGTTCACTGAGCCTGGATCACAGCGAGTGGGAGAAGAGAAGGAGCTAAGGGACAGAGAAGGGGCAGTGTGGCAGGCTTAGAGGATGGATTAAAGTCACCATTAGGACTTGGACCTTTTTCTGAATGACCAGGGGGAGCCATTGCAGAGACTGAGCAGAGGAGTGAGAGGCTATAACTTTGATTTTGAAAGCATCTTCTGGTTGCTGTTTGGAGAATAATGACTCTTCCTCCAATGAGCCTTTGCTGAGATTGACACTAGCTTAGGTCAGCCTGTTCCTTAGTCTTCTCTACTCCTCTCCATTCTTGCAACTCTCGGTAACACTTCATTTAGCACGAATTCCTTGTTTGTGTATGTCACCTTCCTTGTGAATCTGCAAGTTCAATTTGAGGAGAAACTTTCTCTGCCTTGCCTGTTGTTTAACCCTCAGCACAACCATTAGTTGAATGAAGGAATGAAAACCAGAAATACCTGCTTGTATGCAAGCAGATTCCAGTGGGAGACAAGAAAAAGAGGGGTCCCTTCATTACATCCCATTGTTCACCCGAAACCTGGGGTGCCCAGTCCTGGACACACGCAGTTGCACAGGCCTTCCCTGCGCCTCACATCTGAAGCAGCTGGAGCCGGTCCTGGTCTTGACTGTGGGGAAGAAAGAGCTTCCAGTGAGGTGTGAGATGGAAGGTTAAAACCGGCTGATCTAAGGCCCGTTCGATTATTTTCATAACTGAAAAGCAGCCACAGGTAAAAGTGGCTGAAAGTCGTGGACTCTAGGTTGTTGCCCACTGTGTTTGACAGATGCACAGAGGCAGGTCTTAGAAACCGTGACACTGTTCGATGTTTATAGCTCAATAAGTTAAAGCCCCGTAATCAAATCAGTCACACGGTAATCTCAGCATTTCCTTGGGGTGGCCCCACCCGCTCCCATGGCTGTGATTGCCATCTCTCCATGGATGGGTCCCCAGGCCCTTTATAGCCCCATCTTTCTCCCGAAAGAACCGTGAACTAAACTGACTTCTGCACATCTTCGCTGGGACATCCCAAAGCCATCTCAAACTCAGCAAGCCTAGAACCAGAAGACTCAGTTTCCAGCCCTGCTGCTCCTCCAGTCACTGTACTGTGTCAGCAAATGTCCGTAGCATCCGCAGAGGCCGGGCCCTGGCATGCGGAATTGAGGAATGTGGGTGGAACTTATGCAGCGCTGGCTCTGGTGCCTGCTCCGTCACCGGTGGGCTGTGGACAGTGGGTGTTTGATAGCGCCCTAGGCCTCCGTTTCCTCCCGTGTCCTTCTCTATGGTAGGGATTTCACTGTTGTTGTCATGGGAGGGGTGGGGGAGCCATGCATTCATGCATTAAGCCACTATTTTTGGAGCTCCTCCTAGGTACAGGCCCAGCATTAGGCAGTGAGATTGCAGAGAAAACACAGGAGTGGGCCCTGCCCTCCAGAATCATTCTGCAGATCATTCTGCAGATTAAAATAGTGATGCCGAGAAAGCACTTAGCAGGAAACATGGCACATTAGAAGCATTCACTAAATGATGAGAAGAGTCACCAGACATTGTGCCTGAATCCCCTTTCTGACTCTGGTTAATGAGTCTCTGAATCTTGACAATTTTAGTTCCTAAATATCTGACACCTCCCACTTTTGTCCCCCAGTGCCGTCACTCCCCTGTTGAAGATATCAGCTATGGTCCCCCAACAGCCTCACGGGGCTTCATAGGCCAGACACTGCCCACAACAGGTCATCAGTGGGAGCAGAGCCCATGCATCCCATGCCCACTGCTCTGTGCCCAGCACTGGGCATGGTAGAGGGGATCAGTCAATCCAGTGGATGTTTTTTAAAGGGAGCTATAGTTTTAAAACTGTATTAATATAGTATTTTGTTACCAGGCTCATTATCATTTAATCTGGGCTCTAAGCAAAGATTTTAAATTTGCTTAGAACCAGAAAGGGTTCATTTCCATTTAAAGTAATATGAAAGGTGTGACTTTTAGAACCATGAACCCATGGATGTTGGGGCATGATTCTGAGATTTCCTAAAAAGCGAGAAATCTGCAAATGGTAGTAGGAAAGCAAAGCTAGGTAGGAGACATCAAGCACTCGATTGCCCCAAACATATTGTCTACCTGTCGTTGCCTCTCCCTCTCCACTGCTTGATCCACGGCACTCTCTTTTCTTACTTGGATGGCTTTCACCATGTCCATGCATCTCCCTTCCTTTGTAGCCCTGCTCCAGTCCATTCGTTACCTCAAGTTAGAGTGATTTTTTAAAACATAAATGGTATTATGTTGCATCCCTACTTAAAATTTTGTCCTGACTTGCCATTGTCCAAGCGCTGAATTCCTGAGTATGTCTTAAAGGCCCCATGTGGCTTCCTTCATCTCCTCAGACCTCATCTTGCTCCACTGCCTCCTTGGTAACTGTGTCCCCAAAACACTAACCCCCTGATTAATTCTTCACAAATGCCCAGCATTCCTACCTAAGTGCCTTTCCACTTGCTCCTTCCCTGCAAACCCTCTTACGCCAGACCTGCACATGGCTTGTCATTGAGATGGCAATGCAAATGTCCCATCCCCAGGCCTTCCCAGGCCACCCAGCATGGGCAGTGCACCAGCACTATCACATGATCCCATGGCATTTCCTTGCTGTCACTTTTCATTGCTAGTTTTTACTTGTTTGCTTAATACCTATCCCTTCCAATCTGAAGAGACAATGACATCCTGAATGCTAAGTGCCTGGCCCATAGTAGGCATGCAGTACATTTTTGTTCAATAAGGGAATCAATATGTTCTTTGTCCTATTTGCCCTCTTCAAAGTTCTTGTGCCTTTTCCTTTCCATTATGTGGAAGTCGCAAGTATTGGGTGCTCTCCAAACTGGACTCAGCTCTCTGAACGGATGAGCCTAACTCTGGCAGATGGGGGGAGATGGTGTTTTCAGCTTTTGACAGCAGTTGAATGGCTTAGCTCAAAACCAGTCATCTACTGCAGACCTCTGGACACTGCAAAAATTGTTGTTTGCCTCGCTTTTGTCCCTGTTCCTTGATAGTCATTCATTCCTTGAGTCAAACTGTCAGTCACTGAGAACATAAACATTGACCAAACACCAGCCACAGGCCAGGCATTGGGAATACAGAAAGATAGCCCTGTGTTTGTGGAGTCAACAGCCTCGAACAGGAATAAGCAAACATGTCCTGATAAGGGCCAAATAGGAAGTAACTTAGGCTTGGTGGCCCATCTAGGACCTGTCACAGCTAGTGAATGCTGCTATTATGGCACAAAAGCAGCCACGAGTAATATGTAAAATGGCTGGCTTCCAATAAAACTTTATTGGCAAAAGCAGTCTGAGGGCCAAATCCCAGTTTTCTGGCCTCTAGTCTGGCGAGAACATAGACATTGAAGCCAGTGGGTGAGTACCCCGGGGACCTGTGATGAAAAGGGTGAGGGCAGTGTGTGGGGGAGCCCCGAGCACAGTGGAGGGGCGCCTGACCCAGGGAGGCCCAGGCTGACCCAGGGAGCCTGTCTGCACAGGCTCTTCTTCCATGTAAGCGTGCCTGGCCCTGGTGATCAGCTGACTTAGTTGAAAAAAGAACAAAGGAGCCTTAAAACTAAAAGCTATATGTAATATTTTGTGGCCTTTTTTGTTTTTAACACCAAAACATCTTTTCTGATCTTCCTGGAATACTCTGGATCAAGATCTCCCTCTCATAAGTCTCCCAGGGAGTAAAATCTCTAGAAATCTCCAGTTTCTCACCCTTGCTTGCAGCATATGCATTAATTCAAGAAAGGTGAAATCCAAAATATGAATAGGCTTTGTATGTGCTTTCAAGTGAGGATTAAGTCCTACAAGCTTTCGATAAAAAAGAAATGTTGTGATCATATAAATTGAAGATGGCAATACCTCTATATCCAGAAAGTCTCTGGAGATGGTCCCATCTAACCTGCTGATGTCACAGGTCCTCGTTTCACAGAAATGGGATTCTGAGGCCAGCTAATGCTGCAGCCGGCTCACACCACCCTCCTAGGGCTCTTTACAAACCTCGCTCAACCACCAGCTGCATCCCATGTGCTGGGTGGACAGTCACATCTTTGCATGAATTCCTTTATCTTGGGTTTGCACCTGAACTCATTTTTTTTGTTTGTTTGGTTTGGTTTGTTTGCTTGTTTGTTTTGAGAAGGAGTCTCCCTCTGTCACCCAGGCTGGAGTGCAGTGGTGCGATCTCAGCTCACTGCAACCTCCGCCTCCTGAGTTCAAGCCATTCTCCCGCCTTAGCCTCCCAAGTAGCTGGGACTACAGGTGCGTGCCACCACGCCCGATTAATTTTTTGTAGTTTTAGTAGAGACAGGGTTTCACCATGTTAGCCAGAATGGTCTTGATCTCCTCACCTGGTGATCCACCCACCTCGGCCTCCCAAAGTGCTGGGATTACAGGCATGAGCCACTGCGCCTGGCTCTGAATTCATTTTGATTTGTATTGTTATGCCATATTGATTTTTATTATATTTTGGAAAATACTTTGGGATGGTATACAATCCTTTTCTGGATACACGTAAAACAAGCAAAAACAACTAAGTTGGGAAAATAATTTTATCTACTATATGCCAGAAATTCTTATGTCAATATTTTAATGCTGAACTCATCTAATGATACCTTAGAAATTTCACAGTACCTTCTCATGTTGAGACATTTTCATTGTTGAACTGTTTTAAGATGTCTACAATCTTTTCGGCAGACTCCTCATTTCAAACCACTCTACTTCAGACAACCTGATTTTTAAATATTCCTCTAATAAAAGAAATAAAAGGCCCACTGGGCACAGTAGCTCTTGCCTTTAAATCCCAGCAGTTTGGGAGGCTGAGGCAGGTGGATCACTTGAGGTCAGGAGCTTGAGACCAGCCTGGCCAACATGGCGAAACCCCATCTACTAAAAATACACAAATTAGCCAGATGTGGTGGTGTGTGCCTATAGTCCCAGCTACGTAGGGGGCTGAGGCACAAGAATCACTTGAACCCAGGAGGCAGAGGTTGCAGTGAGCCGGAGGTTGTAGAGCCAAGATCGTGCCACTGCACTCCAGCCTGGGTGACCGAGTGAGACTCTGTCTCAAAAAAACAGAAAGAAAGAAAGAATAAAAAGAAAAGAAAAGACCCAGCATACGATTACATTCATTCATTTTAAGAATGAATGAAAAACCGGTACACAATTGTTTGTGCAGGGTTTTGGTGAGTCAACAGCAAAAGATGTATCTTTTTAAAACCACTCTGTGTCTGAAATAATTTCTTATGTTAAATAGCTTCTAACATTTATGGCCACTGGACTGATTCTTAGCACATTAATTCTTCCTGTCATGAGGTTTGGGGATACATCAGAACAATTTATTTCACAGTGGGGTTCTTATCCAAACAAGATCTGTCTTCATATCTTTCTCAATTTAGCAGAATGCTTTTGCAGTGGATCTGGGCATTATCTGCTTCTAGCTGTTTTGCACAGAGGCAAAAACAAAGACAAGATATGTGCATGAGTTAGTATGTATTACAGATGGCATCTCCAACAGCTAAATAGTTGTGCCACATAACAGCTCTGTGCAAATGATATGACCCAGAAACTATTTTATGTTAAATCTGGCTTGAGCTTTTTTTAGTTATACATATCGACAGTCTGAATAGAATGTGACCTGAAATTAGAGTCTGAAGAACTTGGACTATTATAAACGTAATTTTGAGCATCCTTGAAAAAACATAACTCCATTAACTGGGGGATAGGAAAGTATCGTGATAATTTTTTATGAGCTGCGTTTTTCTCCCATGGGCCAAATACCCTTTGGAATTTTTAGTTTCTTTTCTTTTCTTTTTACACGCAACAATTATTTCATTATGATTTATCCACTATTTACAATTACATGTCAGTGTCTGTTTTCTAGTATAAAAGCCTCGGCAAGAAAGCTAGGGTAAACCAAATCATTCTAACAAATTACTACAAAACAGGACTGACATCTTTGCTTTTAACTTACTTTTTAAAAAGAACAGAAGTTAATTTTTTTATTTCTAATATCTCTTGTTACATTGTAATGTTTTCAATCTAGCACTTTGAGAAGTTAATGGGTTATGTTTGGGTTCAACCTGTCAACAGTAATTATATTTAGAAATGCAATACACAAATTAGACTAAAGGCAAATGGGTATCTTCCAGGACTGAAATCATCTGGAGAAAATTAATAATACATTAATTCCATCTTGTAATCGTGGCTTTGTATTTCTATTTTGCGTAGCCAGTTTATTGTCAATGGCTCAAAATGTTGTAAACAATGGAACCCAATTCAACCACACTTGGGATATTATATAAACCTAAAACGCAGATTTATGTATGTGGCTTATAGAAGCATTATCATTATATTTTAATATAATTTTTAATTTCTGGAAGAATTTGGGACTTTAATAAAGCCTGAGAAGACAGTATGAAAATACCGTATACAGCATGGTTCCCTGATCTTACCTAATTTTACTCCATCTGAAGTGTTTTCACATCTTTTTCCCACTTCCCTATAGTTTCTTGGTCAGGCTAACTCATTTTTGCTTTTTCGGCCTTAGTTTGTATTTTCCTTCTTTCAGGAAATATCCTGTGCCTGACCAACATTGGACTGAGTGGCCTCTTATTAGATCTTCCAAGGTGTCCCTGACTGAGTTTTCTCATCATCAGACAGACTTCCTGAGAGCAACAGCTGCATCCCCCTCTCAGGTCTAGTGCAGGGACCGGTGCATAGTAGCCTTCCAATTAGTATATGTTGAATTTGAGTTGGAGAGACCTGGTGCAGGTTCATAAAGCAGGTAGAAAACAATACAAAGGAGGCTGGACTCGGTGGCTCACACCTGTAATCCCAGCACTGGGAGGCTGAGGCGGGCGGATCACTTGAGGTCAGGAGTTCAAGACCAGCCTGGCCAACATGGCGAGACCCCATCTCTACCAAAAATAGGAAAGATTAGCCAGGCATGGTGGCAGGTGACTGTAGTCCCAGCTACTTGGGAGGCTGAGGCATGAGAATCATTTGAACCTGGGAGACGAAGGCTACAGTGAGCCGAGATTGCGCCACTGCACTCCAGCCTGAGCTAGAGAGTGAGACCCTGTCTCAGAAAAGAAAAAAAAAAAAAAAGAAAAGAAAACAGTAATACAAATAACATGTAATAATACTAAGTTAGGCCAGGCACGGTGACTCATGCCTGTAATCCCAGCACTTTGGGAGGCCGAGGCGGGTGGATCATGAGGTCAGGAGATTGAGACCATCCTGGCTAGCTTGGTGAAACCCCGTCTCTACTAAAAATACAAAAAATTAGCTGGGTGTGGTGGTGGGTGCCTGTAGTCCCAGCTACTCGGGAGGCTGAGGCAAGAGAATGGCGTGAACCCGGGAGGCGGAGCTTGCAGTGAGCTGAGATCGCGCCACTGCACTCCAGCCTGGGTGACAGAACGAGACTCCACCTCAAAAAAAAAATGCTAAGTTAAATATAAAAGCAATACTTTCTAAATGTAAACATTACAAGAAATTAGACAGTGAATAGCACATCGATGTTATCTGGAGTTTTATTGAAAAAGCTTATGGGGGAGGTTGCGCCTCAGCTGAACCTTGTAGTTTTGGGGGGAATAAGGACTAAGAGGAGGAGTCTTGCCTGTAGGGATGGGAGCATAAGGAAGAAAGCAGCAAAGAGACTGACTTGAGAGAAACAGAGGGATTCGTGAATGGGAAAGAGGGAAAGACATTCCATAGGGTGAATCCAGCTTATGGAGGCTCCAAAAGATAGAAGAAAAACCTGAGGCCTTAATACATGGGCACTGCGAAACTAGTTCATATTTTGGGGCCAAGAACTGTCAGGATGGAAGCCTCTTTAGAACAGTGTTGCTGGGGTGAGCTGCTGGGATCAGACAGGGGGTCCAGGGAGGGAAGAGGGGATGGAGACAGCCTCGGTGCTGATGTAGGTCTTGGCCAGACAGACGCTCGTGAGAATTCAGACTCCGCCAACACTCATGAGACCTAATCCATTGCTCTGGGGCACACTGCACCGTGGCCACTCCTAAATCTTGACTCAATTATTTTTATAGCACCTGTGTTGCAGACTCTCAACCTCAGCAGGTATATATTGAAGGGAGTATGTCTGCAACAGAAAAAGTGGCTGTTACTTGAAACTTTTCTATTTCCTTTCATGACAGTAAATAAAATGAGTTAACCTATCAATGGGAACATAATTAATTTGATAGGGAACTTTTAAATAAAAAAATTCCAGGTAGACACAAGCCAATGCCACGAGATGCATAAAATCAAGTCGTTGCCCAGGAGTGAAAGGGAACGTGCCTGACAGGAGGGTCCACAGAGTGCCGAGGGCAGATAGCAGCAGAGTCAAACTTGGAAACAAACACCGAGGTTAGAAAGTCTCTTGAATTTAACAATATTGAATACCCCAGATGGGATGTTGACTTACTGGATGAGAATTTAAGAGGAGAAGGGAACTCTTAGGAAAGGAGATAGAGAATTTATATTTTCATAATCCTTTGTAACATATTTACAATATTATTTTATGTAGTAATTTGTTAAAAACCTTTATAAACAGGAAAAGCCATTTAGTTTGTTCAGCCTCTTCTCACTATATAGACTGGATGCACTGAGCCATGAGCTATCTTGGGAGCCCTTCCTCCAACCCCAGAGATAGGCTAGGTGTCTCCAAATTCATCCTTATGGTAGTGCTTACCACACTATGAATAATTAATTATTTGTCTTCAACTCTATAGACTGTGACCTCCTGAGGAGATGGAACATTCTTGTTCACTTTTATAGGATGTGACATGACACTGCCTGGCATCTAGTGGCCGGTCCACTGTGTTGGCAGAATGGGTGAATAAAAGTGATTCAAAAATGTAGACATAAATGAATTTTACCTTGGCTACGTTGTATATGCTGAAATATTGGGACTTCTGCAAATAAGCTTACAGAACCAAAGTAAACCCTCTTCCATGCAGCAGAGTGGACTGGATAAAACAGGGAGAACATGAGCAGAGGAGGCAAGAAAAACCAGAAGGGGTAGTTAGTGAGCTGATTCAGGATCTGCCAGTGCCTTAATAGGACTGTGATTCTAAGCAGGCCAATGGACAACTGAACTGATTTCAGGATTTTAGACTTGGCTGCTGGAAGGAATTTTGAAGATCATTCAACTGTTGAAGCTTATGTTAATTTCTAAAAGTTGAGTCTATCAATTAGTATCTCGGAGCAGGCTCCTCTCCAGTGAGGGGGGTTGCTCACTTGGCTAATTCAAATAATGAACTCATACGACCCACGTGGGCTGAAATGCTCTCTCTGGCATTGTTGTGGGCAGGCGCTGTGCCGGTTACTTCTTTGTCAGTCGTGCACTTTGGCAATTAGTATGTAATTTTGCCAAATATAGATCAAATTAAAATGCATTTGGTCTCTGAGATTTCAGTCATTTATTTCTTGTTTATAAGCCATCTCTAACTAAAAGGGGCTTAAAGTGACAGTCGTTAAGAAGATAAATTCATGTTTTTTAATGGTGTAGCTTTCCTCTTTTAATTACTTTTATCTAATCAAATACTGTGTTAAATGCCCAGGAGTCATAGTTCTCCATGTGTGGAGTTTGCAGAGAGCTTTGAAAGATTGCTAACTGGGGCATGACTTCTGTGTTACTATTGCACAAACTAAGAACAGTGGAAACAATGTGTGAATTTTCAAGGGTCAAGTGTTAGCTAAATTGCAAGACTCTCTCCCTCAAGTGAGGAAATTTAGTTTTTATTTCCTCAAGGATTTTGCACGTAATATTTTTATTTTAACTTGTGCTGCTTTTCATTGCATTTCAGATGCTGCTGCTCTTCATACATATGTAATAACTTTGCTTTCCACTGGGGAGAATGAAGAAACCAGCCACTCTTGATAACTGAGCATTCTCTTTTCCTGCTCTGTGCTTTCACAGCTCCATTCTTTTCTCTTGACCTCAGGTGTTGTCTGCATCTTTATGCACTGGAATCCTGACCGTTTTTCAAATGCCCCTACATTCATGAATTCTTTTCTGGTCTTCAACCTATATATGACCTCCTCCTCCTCTGAACCTGAATTAGTTAGATATTGCTGAATAACAAAGTATCCCATAACTTAGTGGCTGAAGAAAATAATAAACATTGCCTCTCACAGTTTCAGCAGGTCAGGAATTTGGGAGCAAGTTAGCTGGATAGTTCTTGCTCAGGGTATCTCATGCAGTTATAGTCAAAATATCAGCCAGGGCTTCAGTCATCCTAGGGCTTGCCAACTGGCTGCCAAGTAGATGCCAGCTGTTGTTAGAAGGCCCCAGTTTCTTGCTACATGGACTTCACCATAGTACTGCTTGAGTGTCCTCCCAACATGGCTGCTCGCTTTCCTCAGAGCAAGTGATCTGTAAGAGCACAGACAGAGGCTGCGGTGTCTTTTCTGACCTACTCTTGGAAGTCACACATTGCCGTTTCTGCACTTTTCCTATTGCATGTGAGTCAATCCATTCAATGTGGAGAGGAACTACAGAGGAGGTGGAGCTCACTGGAGAACATCTTGAAGGCTGCTTACCCCAGAGCGTGAGCGTGGCAATATATCCTATCTCTCTAACATGACTTAAAATATTCTGTCCTGTATAGTAAGTATTTGTTTCCCTCTCCTGCCCACTCTACTGGATTTATATGTCCTTGAGAGCTTAGATTTGCTTCCTCATCTTTGCATAGCTTGAAATATCTGGCACATTGCTTTCGATATATGTCACATTTCATCCACAGCCTCTCTCTTAATGAGTATAAATGAAGATGTACACATGGGAAAGAATCAGGCAAATGGAGAGAAAGAGAAACAGACAGATTTTGCCAGAGAGTGTGTGAAGGAGGGCAAATGAGAGAGAACAAACAAGGTGGACAGCAGAGTAAATTGCACATTTTTCTAGATAAACATAAAAACTCGCATGCTATTTTTGTAGATGCTAGAATACTAACTTTACAAGAATTTAAATATTTGGAACACTGTGTAACCATATTCTACTTTTTTAATGTATGTGAATGACTTGCCACATTATTTGTAACTCAAACTCCTTCAATTGTGCTTAAATATTCTGCAAACAAAGGGTCGCTTTTTATCAAAACAGAGAAATCATTGGTTACAAATAACTCTTTGGCATTGTCAAGGAAAGCATTTATAAGTCTTTTTATATATAATTGAGAACTTTACTTAACCTTTAATTTACCGCTCTTTAACCTGGCCCATTGGGGTGAAATCATCTCTGGATCGATCAATTAACATTTATATGTAGATAATTAGAGCAAAGGGCACACAGGAATGTCAGGAGGAACAAAAGACCCATGAGAGGATAAGTCCTGGCGGGTCCTGCTCTGAAATGTCACCCGTTCTTCTTCTCATTTCCACTCCCAGAGCCATTTGCACATCATAGTCCAGTTCTTAGTAACTCATGTCTAAATTATCAAAATGACCTCAAGTAGTTCTCACTACTTCCAGCTTTCCCTCCATACTTCTGTCGGAGCTAAACTTACTAAAACATCATTCCCTTCCCATGTTTAAAAACTCTCTTAGTACATTCTGGCTGCTATAACAAAATCCCATAAACTGGTGGCTTATAAACAACAGGAATTTATTTCTCACGGTTCCGGAGACTGGGAAGTCCTAGATCAAAGCACTGGCAGATCCAGTGTCTGGTGAGATCCCCACTTCCTGGTTCATAGACGGTGGCTTCTCACTGTGTCCTCATATGGTGGAACGTGTGTGGGAGCTTTCCGGGGTCTCTTTAAAAGGGCACTCATTTTATTCATGAGGGCTCTTCTCTCACACCATTCACTTCCTAAAGACCCCGTGTTCTAACACCATCATTTTGGAGATAAGGATTTTAACATACGAATTTTGGGGAACACAAACATTCAGACCATAGCAGAAACCTTCAGTGAATCCCACAGTCTAGAGGCCTTATGCTAGGTGTGTCTCCTAGAGTCAACCCTGATCCCTGGCCAGAATCTCCTCTGTTCTCAACTCTTTTCATCTTGTCCCCCACCATTTTCCTGATACATCTTTTTGATCAGCCCACCTGATTTCTCTTCTGTTCCAAGCATACTTGCATGTCTGTGATTCCTTCCTGCTTAGAAACAACATTTCTTTCCAGTGACCAAACATCAATCCTCCCGTTTCTTTAAATTCAATTCAAGTTCCCTAATGGATCCATCCTGACTCAATAATTCTCTTTTCCTAACTTTCGGGCTCCCAGAGTTTGGGGATTACAGATACTTCCTTGTAATACTTGTTCCATGGTAATCTTATGTCTCTCAACTACGCCCTGTGATTGTGTAAGCCAAGTATAACTATAAGGTATTTATCCACTCACTGGGTGCTGTAGTCCACATGCATTTACTAAGTGCCTACTTTAGTCAAAGTAGATGTTCAATAAGAAATTTAGTGAACAACATGTAAATGAGAGCAGAGAAATTATAAAAGTATGAGAAACTACAAAAATAGTGACCCATTCATTTATCCACTAGAATAATCAATAACTCTTGATTACAAAACGATCAGGTGCTCAGCATTGTATTTGATGAGGCATGGGTCATGAAAGGGTTAAGCAAGTAGGGTCTCTACAATTTCATGACTTTTCATTTAATGTTGATAGCTAAGGAAGGAGTATATGAAACACTTTAAACAAAAGTCAGGCCAGTATTGAAGTACATTACAGATGAACTTTTTAAATAACTATTGAAGAAAGGTAAAGAAAAAGGGAAGAGGCAGTGAGGTGTTAGGCTCCAGAGAAAGTTCCTTGGAGATCTTTAGTCTTGAACTGGACCTAGGAATTTGTGATTTGGCTTTGAATATGAAGGTGAGTATTACCGTGAGACTAGATGGCAAAGAGCATGCATCTAGGTGTACAGGAACTAGAAGAATCCTAGGCTACGCAAGGACCTTCCCAGCTGGAGGGGACGGAGGTGCGGAGAGAACAGGATGGACGGTAGGGGAGGGGCAGTTTATTTTACGAGGATGAAATGAAAGGAAGTCTGCGAAGTTCCTAGCAAGCCACCTAACCCGAAGTAGGTGCCCATAAACACTAGCTTTCCCCTCCTCTTTGATTTAGCATTTAGGAAGTTAATGATGTAGACCTTCTAGCCATGAAAAGATTTTTACTCCTTTCCTTAGGTGATTAATCTAATAACTTTTTATTGGTGTCATGTTTATTCCTCACCTAACTTTCCAAAACTACAAGGAATATCTTAATAGGAGAGGAGCAATCTTAGCTCACAGCTGTATCAAGAATTCCAGGTGACTGATAATTCTATGTGAAATGCACATATACACCGTCTTTATAACATTATCTGTGTATGTGCGTGTGTGTGTATAAAGGCAGCATATATACTTTTCTATATCTTCATCTGTGTATCTTAGCACATACATTCATATATTGATATCTGTATCTATCATTTATCTATATCTGTATATAGGTATATATCCAAGTTGACTGTGTATGTATAGTAATAGACAATCAGAATTCCTGAATGACTCATTTATCATTTTTGACTCCCTGTAACTTGTAAATTTCTTTCTTTTCCGAAGAGGACATGCAGAAACACACACAACATTCCAGCTTCCCCGGTTGCATTCCACACCTGCGTCTGGGCAGTGGCGTTTCTTCAAGGGAGTTACATGAGTCTCTGTCTTCACTTCCAATGCTAGTCCCTTCACTGCTCACTCTCTGGTAACCCACTGTTACCTGGTGCCAATTTCTCCTATTTTTTATTCAAGGTAGACATCCTCAGTTCAAGGAGGTTGAGGTGGCCTGGTGCAGCTGTAGCTTAGTTTTCAGTAGGACTCTTCCTGTGTCCCTAGGAAGATACACTTCACTCTGTGGGAACCAAAACTCTGGACCCACCGCATCTGCAGCTGTCTATGCTTCACTGCCAGTTGCAGGATGGGTAAGATGGACTATTTATATTGGAAGGTGTGCACTTCCAGGCCCCAAGACTTGGACCTCTAAACTTTCCCTAATGTCCCTAATGGCTCCTGTCACTGCACAGGGTTGATTTCACACCATGGCCGCCAACGTAGTGCTTGTTTCTTGTTAATGTTCTCCAAATAGCAGGATGTCATTAATAGAGTAGGACAATTGATGTTCCATGTGTTGTCTAGATGGTATGAGTCATTTGGGATCATATTAAAACTGAAGGAGACAACTATAGAAGTGTGCTGTTGTCCATCCATGTGAGAGAGAACTCTTCTAACAGGAATGGAAAAGCCTGCAGAAGCTACACTGATGGCCGCATACCACGCAGCCATGGCTTTCTGGGCCACTGTGGCGGGAGTTCGTGGGCTGACCATTTAGGCTCTGTAAGTTTTCTTTATGTTTCCTCTACAGGGTCATTTCTAAGCTTTTTTGTTTGTTTGTTTTTGAGGCAGAGCCTCACTCTGTAGCCCAGGCTGGAGTGCAGTGGTGCGATCTCGGCTCACTGCAAGCTCCCGCGTTCATGCCATTCACCTGCCTCAGCCTCCTGAGTAGCTGGGATTACAGGCGCCCGCCACCACGCCGGGCTAATTTTTTGTATTTTTGGTAGAGACGGGCTTTCGCTGTGTTAGCCAGGATGATCTCCATCTCCTGACCTCGTGATCCGCCTGCCTCAGCCTCCCAAAGTGCTGGGATTACAGGCGTGAGCCACCACGCCTGGCCTCTAAGCTTTCTTTTTAACTTTGTTATATACAGGCACATTTTCATAAATGTTCTAATATTTTCTCCATGAATTAGTAGCAGATTGGGAGGTCTATAAAGGTTTTAGTCTACCATGTTGCTGAAAGCAAGATGGAGAATATTTTTCACATAACAGCTGTGAGAGAAAAAGGTAGAATACAGCAGCTTCATAGGGTCGCAAAGTGAAAAAAGTATGTGTGTGCTTGAGCATGTGTATGCGAGTGACTGTTTGGTTAGAAATAGGAAAGCATTATGAAGGACTTGGATAGGTTCCAAGAGGGGAAAGGAGAAGCCGCACCTTTAGGTGCGCCCTTGCTCAGATTAAGTTGACCGATTACTTACACATCCATGGCATTAAAATACCAAGGAATTGTATTTTCTTTGTTTGTATTACATATTGCTTTGAAGTAAGTGGGATAACAGAATTTTGAAAATCTTTTAGGTGTTAAGAAATTATCTTTTATATTATTAGTATTATTCATTTCTCTAGAAAAAGGGCTTTTGAAGAGCTCTTATAGGCGTTAAAGATTGGGTATAAAATGAACATGTTTATTTTGTATTTTGTTACAATTACATAGGAAATAGGCTTATCTAAATAGACTCCAATAACTTTCTTACTATTAAAATCGCCTTGGGGCTGATTTCAAATTCATGTATTGAGCTTGTCTCCTGTTTGACATAAACTTGTGTGGTTCGTTTTCCAGTAAAAATACATGGCTTTTAAGATTTTTTTTTCTACAGAGTATTTTAAAGGGATAAAAAAAATTAGGATTTATATATATTGATTAATTAGTAATCCCATAACCATACTCTGAGAAACTGAATATTTGGATGGTTTCGAGATGGCACAATAGACAAAATCTTGCAGTAGAAGAATCCCTGTTGGATAACCTTTTATCCCTAAATTCTACTTTTTTATTTGCCAATAAAATGTGAGAAAATGTTTAACGTTTTTACTTTGATGCAATAGTAATTTTTCTTTTGATAGTGGGGAAATTCAGATTCTATTGTTATAACATAGTTATAATTAAATTACCAAGGAATTTTATTTTCTTTGTTTTGTATTACATATTGCTTTAAAATAAGTGGGATAGCAGAATTTTGAAAATCTGTTATTTCACTGTTGAATTTTCTCTAATTATGTTTATGGGATTACTAGTAAATCACTATATACAAGTCCTAAATTTTTTTGATTCCCTTAAAATACTTTGGAGGAAAAAAATATTTAAAATGTTTTAAAGATTTAAATTTTTAAAACATTCATTTAAAACTTTACAATGCCTGGTACTATGGGAATAGCAAAATAAACATAGGAACTACTTTCCAGGAGATCACAGTCTATGAGAAAGGAGAAGATATGAATACTGTGGTGTAATAACGGATCAATAGAAATATATACAAGCAGATGGGATGATTTGATAGGTTAATTGGGAATTCTGAGTCAGGGAAGACTTCCAGAAAGAGATTATATTTTAGCTCAGGTTTAATCAAAAGATTGATAAATGTGTTAACATAAAAAATGTAAAATTAGGAGAATCAGTTTTCTATGTAGTTCATTGAGTGCCTCCAATTTTTAAGATGTTGTGTTGGTATACATGAGCTTAATGCTTAGCAGCTCCGGTCTTTGCACAGAGCACAGTCTACACAACCCTCCAGGATTACAGAAATTGGTCTAAAGCACGTGCTGCCTTTCCACACTGACAGGTACTAGAGGAAACATCTTCCTTTCTCTCTGCAGGAGCCCCGTCCTGGTTTTCCAGTGCAACTCCCGCCACGTGATTTGCTTAGACTGTTTCCACTTATACTGTGTGACAAGACTCAATGATCGGCAGTTTGTTCACGACCCTCAACTTGGCTACTCCCTGCCTTGTGTGGGTAAGTCTAGCATGTTTTCTCTCCATCTCTAATGCTAATGAAGAACAGAAGAACAATTATTGATGTAAAACTGGCTTAGATATACGTAAACCCTAGCAGAAGAATTTAAATTTGATCATTGCTGGATATGAAACATTAATGTTTGGATCGCAAAAGATAAAAGTTCTGGGGAATGAAGGAATTGTGTTGAACTGGAAAATGCATTATTTGCATAAAGGCATTGAGAATAAGTTTGTCAATATTATTCAGCCAAGGTATACTAAGTTTTTCTGTGGGTTAGAGTCACTCTCCATGTTCTAGATTTGTTACCGTGGAACTAGAGCAGTATTACCTAATTTTTAAATCGTATACCTCTATCACTCAAAATGTTGAACACATACCCAATATATATAAAATAACATATGTGAAAAAGAAAGCAGAATGAGATAAACCTGAACTACTTAATATTTTATCTTTTCACATTACAAAGCACCCTTTACTTGTACTATACTGTTATTACATATATACATTTTAATGGAAGTGAAATTCATGTAACCAATTAACCATTTACAAGTGTACAATTCAGTGGCATTTTGTGCATTCACAATGTTGCACAACCACTACCTCTGCCTGGCTTCAAAACTTTCTGAACACCTCCTACCCAGCTAATCACTGCCTGTGACCCCCTGTCCTAGCCCTGGCCACCACCAATCACTTTCTTTCTCTATGGATTTGCCTATTGTAGGTATTTCCTATAAAAGAAATCGTACAATAGGTGACCTTTCGTGTCTGCCTTATTTCACTTAGCATAGTGTATTTGAGGTTTATTCAAGTTGTAGCGTGTATGAATATTTCTTTCCTCTTTGTGGCTGAATAATATTCCACTGTGTGGATACCCCACAATTTGTGTGTCCATTCATCTGCTGATGGGCATTTGTGTTGTTTCCGTCTTTTTGGCTATTATGAATAATGCCGTTGTAAACATTCATATATAAGTTTCTGTATGAACATTTGCTTTCATTTACCTTGGATATATACCGAGAAGCAGAATTCGAAGTTTAACCTTTAGGAGAACTGCCCACTGTGTTCCACAGCTGCTGTACCGTTTTATATTGCCACCAGCAGTGTAGCAATGTCCCAGGTTTCTCTCTCTCCACATTCTTGTCGTCACTTGTTACTGTTTCTAACTAGTCATCCTAGTAAGTGTGAAGTGGTGTCTTATTGTGGATTTGATTTTCATTTCTCTAATGACTGTGATGTTGATTATCTTAATTCATATCTCTTCCTTATAAGAATGTCGGTTCAAGTCCTTTCTTTGCTCATTTTTAAATTGAGTTATGTTTTTGTTGTTGAGTTGTAAGAGTTCTTTATATATTCTGGATACTGGATCCTTACCAGATATAGGATATGCACATATTTCTCCCATTCTATAGGTTGTCTTTTCACTTTCTTCATAACGTCCTTTGGTGAACAAAAGTTTCTAGTTTTGATGAAATGCAATTTATCTGTTTTTGTTGTTGTTGCTAATACTTTTTGTGTCAAACAAAAGACTTCATTGCCATATCTGAGATCATGATGATTTGCTTCCATATTTTCTACCAATAGCTTACCTCTTGTATTTAGGTCATTAATCTAGTTTGAGGTAATTTATGTACCTGGAGTGAAGTAAAAGTTCCTATCTCTCTCTATGTATAAATGACTGCAATGTGACTAAATATGTTTCATTAATTCTTCAAAACTTAATTTGAAACTATGGGATACCTTGACTCAATGGTGAGGTTTTAAGTTCAATTTATTTCAAGATTTAGTTTTAATGTCAATTATAGCTGAAAAATATACCTCCAAATGATAAAAAGATCCAAATGGAATAAATTAATTTCTTTGTTGACTTTGTAAATTATGATACTCACTTTTAAGCATATCTACCAATAATGCAATGATTTTTAAAACTAAGATTCACATAATATATGTTAACATATTGTTAAGGAAAACTTGTTGAAAGTTATTGTGCCTTTCTTTTTAACAAAAGCATCCAAAATCTAGTGAAGTTTATTATTTACAGATTGGAAAACTCTGTAATGCTTTTAATGTGACAATTTTGTTTTGGTAAGCCTTCTGCCTTCACAAAGCCACAAACAATAGAAACATTTCTAAACACACATTTTCAAGTCTTCCCTTCACACTCTATCTTTTTAGTTATCAGTTCATTTTGAACCCATTTTCTTTTAATGTGTATCTTTTTATTTTAGACGATTTCAAACATACAAAAGTAAGGAAAAATACTACAGTGAACCTTCCTGCACCCATTAGTCAGGATTTGCAGTGTACCAAGGTGCTCTCGACCTTTCTTGTAATTCTCGCCGAATGACCTGCAAGCAGCCATTTTTCTCAGGACCTCTGGCTCCCTTTCGTAGGAAATAGTATTTAAAAGTCTTGGTGCTTGGAATGCTCATTGTCACCATGTTGGTTACTGTTTCTAGGCCTAGTGGAATAAGCTAGGAGACTTTTTTTTTTTTAAGTACAAATGCAATATTAGTTATACTAACATTTTCAGTTCAAATCCAGTGTTACCAAATTTTCATTGAAAAGTCACCAATATTACAACTGTTGTTTCTTTCACCCTTGGCAAAAATTCTGTTACTGAGTGATACCAACAAAATTACTCATTTGCCTTACTTTGGAATGCACCCACAACAGTATCAGTATTACAGTATCGACACCATCACCTAAGTGTGATTATTGAAAACAATGTTAAGATTTTTGCAGTTTGTTTTGTCATTAGGGTATATCCTTATAGGGATATAAACTCATATAAGTTAATGTATAGTTATGTCATCAATTGAATATGTATTTCTCATTGCTTTTTTTTAAATTTTTTAATTAATTAATTTATTTTTTTGAGATGGAGTCTTGCTCTGTCGCCGAGGCTGGAGTGCAGTGGCATGATCTCGGCTCACTGCAACCTTGGCCTCCCGGGTTCAAGTGATTCTCCTGCCTCAGCCTCCCAAGTAGCTGGGACTACAGGTGCATGCCACCATGCCCTGCTAATTTTTGTATTTTTAGTAGAGATGGGGTTTCGCCATGTTAACCAGGCTGGTCTCTAACTCCTGACCTCAGGTGATCCGCCCACCTCAGCCTCCCAAGGTGCTGGGATTACAGGCATGAGCCACTGCACCTGGCCTTTCATTGCTTTTAAATTTATTGTGTTTTCATAATATGTAAAATATTTCCATTATTCCAAAGCAAAAGCTACAAAACATGCTATATTCAAAGAAATACACCCTTTATCTACGTTCTCTTTCTCTCCCAAAGGTAAATAATAAATAAATAAAGGTAAATAATATTCCTTTTCTCTCCCAAAGGTAAACGTTTATTAAAAACAATCACCTATTTTAAAAATAGGTAAACATACTATAGATGATATCAAAAATGGTATAGATGTGTCACCTTCTTAAGTAGAAAGTAGATTATACACATTTTTCTTTACCTTGCTTTTTTCACTCTATAGTACCTATTATATTTTAAAGATCACTCCCTAGTCCGATATAGATATTTTCTTACATATAAAAATATATAGCATTATTGAATTCCTTTGTGTAGGTATAGCTTACTTTTTCCTTACTGGCAAACACTAAGTTTTCATTTTTTTACTGTAAATATTGCTACAACTAATAGACTTGTGTGCACCCGTATTTTCATATTGTTGTCAGAGTATTACTGGGATCTGCTCCCTAGAAGAGGGGTTACTGCACCAAAGGGAAAATGTGTATTTATTTTACTGTTTCCAAATTTCTCTCCCAGTAGTGGTGCGCTTTCCATGCCCATCAGCAATTGCAAAGTGCAGTATCAGGCTCTCCACTTCCTCCCCAACAGGGGAGCCGCAAGGCTTTTGCTTTGTTTCTAATTATATATTTGAGAAATGTTATTCTATGTAGTTGGCTGTATGTTTCTTTTTAATTTTAAACAAAGTTGAGCATCTTTTCATGTGTTTAGGATCCTTTGGTGTTTCTTTTTCTCAGTCATGTTGAAAACATCACCTTTTCTTTCAGGGACAGGTTACATATATTATTTTCAAAAATATTTTCTGTATAGCACACTGTTGACAGCCCCTTGTAGATACAGAAAAGATTAGCAAAGTTGGGTCACTTGTAAAGAATGTGCGTAAATTAACTTTAATTTCGGTGGTTCTTTGCCACGAGATAACTAACAACCTCCTTGAAAAGAATTTTGCGTGGTCAAGCTCTATGTTGTTAAAATGCATTATATGGATTCTACTAAATATTAATTGTGTTTTAAACACCTTTTAGACTTTTATTTTTAAATTCAGTATGCCAATGCCATCCTCAGAATCTTATGCACTCTTGGGTTCAACTTCTTGGTTTTAATAGGGAGTGAGGCAGGGATGAATGGATGGAAAGATGTTGCGTTGCAAAGTTTCTTTGGAATCCTTCTACACATTTTTTGTGAATGTGGCCACCTCATCACTGGTTACTTAAATATAATACTCATAGAAATTTGCTTTTATTTTTTAAAATACCAGTTGCTATTGAGAACTTATATTCCCTGGCACCTCTTTTCCTTAATGTTTAATAACTACAAGTGCTAAAGTTACATATTTGTGTGTTTTGCTATTTTAAAAAATGAACTAGTAACCAGAAGCTGAGACAGGCTAGAAACAACTGTACTGCCATTCAACTGTGTAGTCAGTCTTCCACATGGCATGGTTCGGTTCCATCCCTGTTTCTTCATAGCTTCAGCCATGTTTTAGTATGTATCTCCGTAAGTACTCACTCATGAGAAAATATAGTTCGGTTTGTCACAAGATTGTTTAGCATGTGTTATTTCAGCCTTTTTAAAAACTGTATATCCAATTACAATGTTTCCCTATATTATGCAAAGAGAAACTTTCAGATGTCATAGATTTTATTTTGTCAAGAACAAACTGGATTTTCTTTAATATTTGCTCAACAGAGACACTCATTTTGTTTATTACTTGCTTAGTTTTTAAATGTCTTGCTAAATATAATGGCTCCCTACTCTCGTTAGCTTCTGTCTCGGAGCCTATTTTATAATCACATTGATGTTCACGTATGTACCGACATCGTCAGTGTTGCCGTTTTCTCATTTTCCTCATGTTTAGATTATTACTTCTATCTTTAATTAATAGTTTCTTTGAAGGATTATTTTTAAGTCACCTATCTGTTTTAATAGGGTTAATTTAATTAAAATGAGATAAGTTATTCATTATTCTTTTAGCCAAGCACAGATGACCTTCTGCTGAAAGGTGACTGACAAGAGAGGGCTCCACTCTCCAGTGGTGGTTGTGGGACTCCCTGTTCCCTTGGGATAACCCCTTTGCAATACATGACATATGACCATCCAATATACAGGCTAGGGTATGAGATGGTACACATATCATTCTGTACATTAAGTCTTTGTGGAGGTCAATTCTTTTCATATTTTTTGCATAATACCTGTGTAAGTCCTAATATTACCCCCATAAACCAGTGAACCATTTTTCACAAATCCTGGTTTATATACGGCACCTCAGAAAAGCCTAGTTCAAATGCTGGCTCTGAATCTTACTATATACATAATACAGGGCAAGGTTCTTCACCTTAGTGTGACTTGATTTCATCTTAGGTAAAATGGGGATAATGCATTAGCATCATTTTATGTGGACACATTAAAATAATGCCTTATGAAGTACCTTTAGGGTACATGCTGAAGACAGTAGGCACGCAATGTACACTGGCTTTTGTTATTTTGGTTGTGATTTAAGCATGCACTCCAGTAAACATATACATATTGTGTTTGTGTCTATGTCTGCATGTATGTGTATATTTACAGAGAAACATGCATTTGGACATTCTTTCATTGTAGGTTGGGATTGGGATTTCCTATAATTCAATGCATAAATCAGCCAATTACCCATCTATCTGGTGATCTCTCTTCTTGGTTTATTTGGCTTTGCCTTGATTCGTGGAGCATAGAACAAGACACATAAAATAAAATGATAACAAAATAGAAATAGAAAATCAAAGTTTATAGTCTGGGCACAGTGACTCACGCCTGTAATCCCAACACTTTGGTAGGACGAGGTAGGCAGATCACTTGAGGCTAGGCATGAGACCAGCCAGGCCAACATGATGAAACCCTGTCTCTACTAAAAATACAAAAATTAGCTAGGTGTGGTGGCACATGCCTATAATCCCAGCTACTGGGGAGGCTGAGACAGGAGAATCGCTTGAACCCAGGTGATGGAAGTTGCAGTGAGCCACGATCACACCACTGCACTCCAGACTGAGTGACAGAGCGAGACTCCATCTCAAAAAAAAAAAAAAAAAAAAAAGAAAAGAAAAGAAAAAGAGAAAAAAAAGAAAAGAAAGGAAAGGAAAGAATAGGATCAAAGCTTATCAAACTATAAATCAAAATGGTAGATTATCAGGAACAAGAGCTGATGGAACCCATATTACTCCCAGGGCACAGCTTTCTTCTGTGGTGGAGCTAAAGGTTATATCAATGTCTATGAATCTTATAAATAACATATGTTGGCTAGGCGCAGTGGCTCATGCCTATAATCCCAGCACTTTGGGAGGCCAAGGTGGGCGAATCACCTGAGGTCAGCAGTTCGAGACCAGCCTGGCCAACGTGGTGAAACCCCGTGTCCAGTGAAAATACAAAAATTAGCCAGGCGTGGTGGCAGGTGCCTGTAGTCCCAGCTACTCGGGAGGCTGAGGCAGGAGAATCACTTGAACCAGAGAGGTGGAGGTTGCAGTGAGCCGAGATCATTGCACTCCAGCCTGGGCGACAGAGCAAGACTCAGTCTCAAAAAATAAATAAATAAATAACATATATTAATAATACGTATGGAAAACAGAAATGACAGTTAATTCTGTAAAGAAACAAATAATGTATTGAAAGCACAGCTTTATGGAAGCTGGACTGCTACGGGAAGGCTTCAGAGTCCATGCCTGATCCTGTCTGTGGTCAGATGCAGCACAGCCCCTGACAACACGATGGGCACTTTGGGCACGTTGCTGATCGTGCACTCCTGGTGCTGTGGAATGTTTCTCTGGAGGTTCTTGGCTGACCTCCTCAGCAATTCTAATTGTATAAAATGGCTGGACCTCCAGAGTCAGACCCCAGTGTTGTCTTTGACGTATGGAATCTTGGGAGTGGCCCTTGCTGATTTCTCTGAAGAGTGGTCCATTAACCTCTCCACCATCCCAGCTTAAAATGCCTGTGCGAATTGTTTTGAGCCCCCGTGGGGACTACTGGCTATTTTTGGATTGTAATTCCTCCAAGAAAATTAAAGCAAGATTTATTTATGCAATCAAAGGACATTTTATCCCTAAAGCCATCGGTTCCTTTCAATGATAAAGTTTCTATCTAATCATAAAAGATGGATTAATCTGGTACTGGAATCCATAGCTCCAATCCATTCCTTGATTTTCCTGAACTTAGGAGTGTGAATGAAGCTGCAAATGGGGTAGATTTATTGGTAAATATGTTCTTTGAATTTGTTTGGTGGTTGTATTTCTATCTTGGTGTGGTCCAAAGGACTTTGATCACCACAAATTGGAATGACTCCTCCTGCTGGGGTGGCATAGTCACCACTCAACCTGTGGAAGAAGCAAATGTCCCATGCATGGCACTGTTCCAGGATCTTCTGTGCTTTTCCATAAATGCAGCTATAGCCCTCACCTCCTCTCCACCCTGCCCCTAGCCCATACAAATGGTCCTTTCCCCCAAATTCATTATTTAGTGTCTCCTTAGCCTAGGAAATCATGTAATAGAATTTGAATACAGATGTTATAAGACCATAATAATAATTTTTAAACCCCTGGGACTGTTAACTAGATATACATACATATATATACACATATATATGTATACATATATATACATATATACGTATACATATACATATATACACATATATACATATATACGTATACATATACATATATACACATATATACATATATACATATATCATATATACATATACATATATACATATATACATATACATATATATCTATATATACATATATAGATATATATGTATATAAAATATCTCTTATATATTGTGTATATATATATTATATATATATTCTCATATATATAATATATATATATGAGAATATCCGTAGAGTTAGCAAACCATTTTCCAAATTACACTGGTCTCATGCACCAAACGTCTTAACAGTGTCTGTATATATTCATTTCTAGATAAATATCTAATACCTCTTGCTATCAAGATGTGTGTAATAAGATGTTCTTTTCTGTTTCCATCGTCTAGTTTTTTGTGTCTCTTTCAAACTTCTTAAGCTAAACACCTTATACATTCTTCAAGGTATGGCCAGGCAACAATGAACCAATCTTTTTCATTGACAAAATTATGATGGTGAATAATTAAAACTGGCTTAAAATACCATCCAGGTAGAAACCCTGCTCTCCTAGTGTGAACTCATTCTTTGACCAGATATTGTGTTATACTTTCTAAGGGTAGGATATGAAATTTTATTTCCCTAAAATTCAAAAACGAGTAATGATTAATGAGCGCTTACTATAAATATGGTGCCATTCTTAGTGCTTACTCATAAACCTCCATTGAATCTCCAGAAAACCCTATTAGGATGGATGTTGTTATTCTTCTCATTTTTATAAATGAAGGAATGGAACCTCAGAAGTTCATTAAATTGCACATGCTGGTGTACAAAGCCAGAGAGTTATGGCTCTAGCGCCTGCGTTCCTAATCACTGTGTGAATAGATAAGCCTGCCTCAACAGTTAAACTATCATACCTTTGAAAGTTCTATGGGAAGAAGGTCAAGAAAAGAACATTTCTAATTTATTAGCACTATTTCATATTTAAAACAACTATAAGGTAGAAATTATTATTCTTATTTGTACAGAGGAAGAAGTAAAGGCTCGATATCATTAAGCAACCAGGATCACAGAGTTAGGAGGAGGAAAGCTGAGAGTTTAACCCAGATACGATTGGCTCCAGAGCTCCGTACTCCTGCTTCTCTGCTGCCCTGCCTCTCCCTAGGCTGTGGTCTTCAACCCCAGATATGCTTTTCAGTTACATGGAAGTTTTTAAAGATCCCAATGCCAAGGCCATGCCTCAGACCAATTAAATGGTAACCTTTTAGGTTAGGCATCATGGTTTGTTAAAGTTCCCACGTTTAAATATTTAAGAACTACTCTGGGGTGGGCAGTCTGTAAGCAAGAAGGCATTTTCAATGGGAGTCTGTAGCATTCATAAATGCAAAAATACTCCCTCTGCCCATGTCTATGTAATCTCTAGTGATTTGACTTGCTAGCTAGCATGAGTTTTTCAGTACATTTTGATGAAGTTGAAAATAAGATTGACAAACATAGCCAAAACAGCCTATTTCCAGAACCTCTGACAAACTCTTACCTAAAGGTATGGGCTTTGGTAAAATCTTTTTAATTATCCTGAAAGGTTTGCTGCCAGCTATTACTAGTAGTCTATGCTCGGAATTGTTTTGAAATGATGAAGCACCCTCTGCATCTCCTTTTAAAACTGAGTAGCACTCACCCAACTTGGTGGAGCTTCATGTATTTAGGTTGATTTGTTGAGAGTGCTACTGTAGAATGATGGCTACTATGCAAAATGCACTTACTTCTTGTCCTTTATAAGCCCTGGTAGCACAGATTTTTCTGTTGCTCTAGGGGCTGAGGAAGTAGTTTCCCACCTTCCCTATGAAATGCCATCAGCCTCACCATTAGTACCATTCAAGTCCATCGGTTATGTTTTTGCCTTTTGTTTTTTGTTTTTACTGTTGTACTCCCAGGTCACTTTTCATGTAATTCTAGTTTTCACCTAACTTAGAATGCAATTCCCTTTCCATCTATTATCTCAGCTCACCAACTATAGTCCGTTATGCTTCTTGGTTGTTGTCAGTCATAGTGCAGCATGAGACAGACAGTTCTGATCCTGTTTAGATACAGAGATATTCTCGATGCCTAGGGAGTCAAGAAACTTGGGTTGCAGACACCTACTTAGGGAGCAAAACATAAAATCTAATATGAAGGAATATTTTTTGGTTTTCGAACATTGCTCTCCTAAATACAAATAATCATGTTAATATAACTCCTAAAACACATTGGAAAACTAGGTAAATATATTAAAAGATGCGTTACAAAAGAATATATGCAAATGGCCAACACGCATATTAAAAATTCAACATAATTAGTTGCTACGGAATTGCTAACTTAGGCTGGGTGCCCTGGCTTAAGCCTGTAATCCTAGCACTTTGGGAGGGCTACGTGAATCACTTAAGCCTAGGAATTTGAGGCTAGCCTGGTGCAACACAGGGAGACCCCTTTTCTACAAAAAATTTAAAAATTAGGTCAGTGTGTTGGGGCATATCTACAGTCTCAGCTACTTGGGAAGCTGAGGTGGGAGGATTGCTTGAGCTTGGGAGGCTGAGGTTGCAGTGAGCCATGATTGTGCCATTTCACTCCAGCCTGAGTGACTGAGTGAGACCCTGTCTTAAAAAAAAAAGAATTGCTAACTTAAAGCATAAAATATAAAATGATGGACACACATTCAAAAGAGGTAAGAATATAAATTCATATATTTCCATAAAGCAATTTGGCAATCCGTATTATAAGCTTTAAAATGTTAAACTACCCAGAGCCTATCCACATGCAATCTCCATGTGTCTGCCTGTCTGTTTGCCTGCCTCGCTGAAACAGACAGTCCATTCTCTTTCTAGCTCCTGGACCTTGTATAATTATAATTGCCACTGTGAAAATGGTGGCACCAGGATTGAAGCCACATTGAAACTAACTCCTGATGTGCTTGTAGTCCAAGTTCAAAGTTCCTTCTGCCTCCAAATTGATTGAAATTAAATCAAACTTCCTAAGCTTCGGAGTTTAAACTCCTTCCTGTTTTATTTTTGGGAATGATTTAGCAATTTTGACAGTTTTCCTTTGATTTGGATGCATGAGGCGGTGTAAAGTCAGGGTAATAGTCTAACTTCTCTAACCAAAGCAACACTGGAATCGCAGTGGCTGAACAGGGTCAAGATTGATTTCCCTTCATGTCATGGTCCAGTGTGGGTTGGCCAAGGGGCCTCTGCTCCACTCCGTTATCCAGGGACCCAGACCCGAATCCTGCCATCTTCTGGTTCTGTCACCCACAGCAGCCCCTGTGTCTCAGCTCGATCCTCTTCATGGGGCCAGCTGGCGGAGGAAGAGCAAGCAGCACACCACACTGGAGACTCAGGTTTAGATCCCAGGCCTGCAAATGGAGCATGTCACTTATTTCCACGTTCCTTGTACCAGAACTCAGCCACATGGCCCTGCCTAGCCACGCCGTGTGTGTGTGTGTGTGTGTGTGTGTGTGTGTGTGTGTGTGTGTGTGTGTGCTCAGGGAGTAGAAAGGATGGGGGAGGAAACAGGATCTGGCCCTGTGCCAAGGAGAAAAAGCAAACGGGCTGTCAACACACAGCAGTCTCTAACGCTGGTGGAGAGGAGGGCGAAACATAACATTTATTGAATGGCTTCTCAGCTTTCCTCTCCCTGCTTGCAACAGGAACAACACTCAATCAAGTGACTTCATTATAAGGAGTGACTGGTACACGGACAAGGACCAGAAAAAGAGCTGTAGGACAAAATTGATGGTGTTGCAGAGCTCATTCTAGCTGGATCAACAGGGCACTGTCTGTTCGGTCATCTTTTTGGCCTTGGAAATGCTGCCTTTATAGAATTCTACTTCAGAGAAGACAACAGAATTTTATGTTTGCCTGATGCATGCATGTGTCTGGATTACAGATGAAGTGATTCCGTCCGTCCGTTTGAAACAGCTCCAGCAGCATCACTCCCTTCCTCTCTGGGAGGAACGCCAAGACAACTTTGCCCAGTTCTTACTTTCCTTGAATTTCGACTCTCCAAACTGACTTCTTTCCCCTTCTTCTTCTTCTTTTTCTGCATCTTATTAAGTGTTTAAAGATAAAATAACATTTGAGAAAGCAAAAATAAGGTGGGAATGTTCTGAATAGCAGAGAGAATAAAAATAATTTTTTCCACCCATTTCTGCCAAAAACTCTTAAAAAGCACATTCTACCTTTGTTTTATGAGGGCAAACACAAACAATTTTTAGCTATAAATTTATTACTTATGCAAAGAAATGTGGAAAGATGTCTGTCAGTACTTAAGGTAGCTACAAAAGTTGCTCAAAACAGCTGTCTTTAGGATTTCTTCTTCTTTTTAGTGTGTGTTTGTGTAGTGTGTATGTGCAGATAGATAAATGGATAGATGAATGGATGGATGGGTTGATTGATTGATAATAGATAGATAGATGATAGATAGATAAACAGATAGTAGAATGGCCTGAATTCTTTCCCCCTGCCTCGTCAGCAGTTGGCACAATTTTTGAATGTATGCATTCTGCATTGTCATCAGAGTGGGCACCTCCTGAGGCTGGGAGGATTCTAACGTAGTCAATAAAATACTAATTGACCTTTAAATATATCATTTTAAATGGTTTGATGTATTCTTAAATTTATTATGAGCCATATTATGCATACACAAGAGTGCTTATAGCACTTGTATAGTTATAGATTTGCATAGTTATAGAAAACCTCTGTAACCACCACCTGGATCACACAATGTGAGCCAGCAGCCCAGAAGCCTCCGTGTGATCTCCTCCATAGCCGCTTCCTCTGCCTGTCTAGATATAACTACTATCTGATCTTAATAATTATCATTCCCTGCTTTTCTTTGTAGCACTACCACCTATATATACAACCCTAAATAATGCAAGTTTTTGCCTGCTTTTAACTTTCAAACTAGTAGTGCTTGAAAGGTTTTGCCAAATGTCCCTCTCCAGAACCATCTAAATTCCAGTAATACTCCTAGTCCTGAACCTCTGAATATATGTGCAAATTATTCCATTCAAGGTTTTTTCATTCTTATTTTTGTTATATATATTTTGTTAATTACACTAGATAATGGCTGTCTTCCTCATTGGGTTGAGGGATGTGTGTTATTGGGTGTGAAAATAGTTTATTATCTTTTTCATCAGATAAATTTTAAGCTTACAATCAGAGATTTAAAAGCAAACTGGACTAGTGACTGGGAAGAATTGCTTGGATGACAAGATCAGTTTATTGCACTTTGGTGAGAGTGCGTCTTATATTTGTTTGATGAATTGTAAAAAGCAGAGTTCATTGCCTGTGTTAAATATCCTCCATCATCTGTCAGTGTTGTATCCAACGTCCTCAACTGCTTCAGATTTGGTGTTTTGGGTGGTTCCACCTCAGCGAGCCCCACGGCCTATATCAGAACATGTCGATTGCTGAGAATCACCTAAACGAAGCTGACTTACAGCAGCCAGAGAGCCGCTCGGCAATATGCAACATTAGAGACACATTGAGCAACACAGTCTGTGATCTCTGCAGTGTCACAGGAAATGAGATGCCTGCTATATCTTCCTGAGCTATGGATTTTTGCAACTAGTCAGAACTTTATTCCAGAAGAAAGCAGGGCCATGTGGGTCAAGAACAATTTAAGTGTATCTGAGGCTGGAATCCCTTTGGATTTTAAAAATATTATTCCTGGTGCAGACAGGTTCAAAAAAAAATACTGTTCTAGCTGTAGATTCCGTTCCTTCATCACTACCGCCATCATCATCACCCACAGGCGTCTATTCAGAGCCTAGTGGTGCTGCATTCAATACTGTATGTTGCTTTGGCCACTTACATACAAACACACACACACATACACACACACATTCGGTAACTGTGATAAAACTTTATTCTTCCTCCCTGTGCGATGTCTTGTGTTACTGAGACTTCATGCATAGAAATTGCTATGAGCTAGTGACCTCCTACTATCTTTGAAATAATTAATAATGTGCTTAGAGGGGTTGATTTACATATTTATGAGGGTTTATACTGTTTGGTTCCAAAGCAGGAGACTGAGAGAATTTCATGTTTTCAATGCATACCAAGTTAGCAAGAGGAGGAGTGGCTTAATATTCTAATGTCAAGATGAACATAAATATCTAATACCCAAACCAAGTAATTGTATTATTTATTTGCAGTAAAGTCTGAATGCCCTCCAGGTGATCTCACATGTTCCATCACTGATTCTACTCGAGTGTTTGGAAAAAATAATATTTCTTATATTTTCTGCTTTTTGAACCATTACTAGACATCACCAGTCTTGGAATTATATATTTATAGAGGAAAACACTGTACAAAAGGCAGTGGTGAAACACAAGGAAGGAGGAATAAGAACAGCATTCAAAGAAGTAATCTTATTTACTTCCTCAGCATCACTCCTGATCCCTCCCCCAAGCTGCTACCTGTGACAGCTCTTTCTTGTGGCTCAAGCACAGCAGTGCTTTTATTTTATTTTATTTTATTTTATTTTATTTTTTTTTTTTTTTTGAGGTGGAGTCTTGTTCTGTCGCCCAAGCTGGAGCGCAGTGGCGCGATCTCGGCTCACTGCAAGCTCTGCCTCCCAATTTCACACCATTCTCCTGCCTCAGCCTCCTGAGTAGCTGGGACCACAGGTGCCCGCCATGATGCCAGGCTAATTTTTTATATTTTTAGTAGAGACAGGGTTTCACCGTGTTAGCCAGGATGGTCTCGATCTCCTGACCTCGTAATCCGCCCACCTCGGCCTCCCAAAGTGCTGGGATTACAGGCATGAGCCACTGCGCCCGGCCATCAACTACTGTCTCAGTTTGCCCAGGCTTCTATTACAAAATACCGCAGCCCGGGTGGCTTAAACGGCAGGAATTAATTTTCCCACAGTTCTGGAGGCTGGAAGTCTGAGATGAAGGTGTCAGCAGGGTTGATTTCTCCTGAAGCCTCTCTCCTTGGCTGGTAGATATCGTCCTGCCTGTGTCCTCCTGTGGTCTATTTTCCCTCTGTGCCTCTGTCCTCATCTCCTCGTCTTCTAAGGACACCAGTCAGATTGGGTGAAGATCTACACCAATAGCCTCATGTTACCTCTTTAAAGGCCCTGTTGCCGGCCAGGCACAGTGACTCCCGCCTGTAATGCCACCATTTTGGGAGGCTGAGGCGGGTGGATCTCCTGAGGTCAGGAGTTCAAGACCAGACTGACCAACATGGTGAAATCCCGTCTTTACTAAAAATACAAAAATTAGTTGGGCGTGGTGGTGCACGCCTGTAATCCCAGCTACTCGGGAGGCTGAGGCAGGAGAATCACTTGCACCTGGGAAGCGGAGGTTACAGTGAGCTGAGACGGCACCATTGCACTCCAGCCTGGGTGACAGAATGAAACTCTGTCTCATAAATGAATAAATAAATAAATAAATAAATAAAGGCTCTATTGCCAAATAGAGTCACATCCTGAGGAACTGGGGTTAGAACTTCAATGTATGAATTTGGGGGTACACATTTTATCCTATAACAATCAGTTTCTCAATTCTGAAATAGTTTTTAAATACTCAGCACCCCCAAGTTCAGAAAAGGCCTATTGAACGTGAGCCCTCTGTATGTAAGTTCTGCTCCCTGCGGTTAAGCTACTGGGTGTTCCTAAGACACGCCTTGTCCTCCAGCCTTCCCAAAAGCCCTTCCCCATGCTCCATGTGGGCTGGTTTCCTGAGCTTCAACGCAGTGTCCCTGGGGAATGCAGGGCTCTTTCTGCCAATTTTCTGATTTGAAAATCTAGACTCACTAGCAGACGTTTCAGGATGGATCCTCCTAACTTTCCTGTGCTTTGTAAATGTAAAGATTCAAGCATCTTCTTGGGGGTGCAGGTGGCTAGGACAGCATTTGTGGTCATGTCTCAGTCCCTGGCTCTCCCAGGATGGATTGTCAGGACCTGAGGCGTCCAGTTATTGTGGACTAAACTGCCAACAGTTACAGTAAAGCCAACAATGTAATCAGTGGCTCACACACAACCGCAGCATAATTCTTGCCTGGGGTGGGCGTTTCAGGTGGGTGGTGGTTATCTTCTGAGGGGCATTTGTATCTTTTGCCTTTATTATCCCACTGGGCCTGGTCCATATCTCCATGGTCAAGCTTAATCCCCACATCCAAGATCCAGCTGGCAGAGGGGAATGAAATTATAAACTAGGCATGCATCTTTCATATAATCCCAGCCCAGAAATAGCACACACCCCTAAGATCCTTAAGCTAGGCCTTAGTCATTTGGCTATATATACCTTCGAGGGAGTCTCAGTAATGGACCCTTGAGTAGAGGCCTAGGAACCAGAGAAAAGAGGAATTTAGGCGGACATCTGGCAGCCTCTGTCAAAAAGATATTCCTCTAGGGGTACTGGGAGCCCAGCTTCCAAGGAGTAGGCTTGGTTATGTTCATGCTTCAGGAACCTTGGGCAAAGTGAGGACCCTGTACTCAGATGGTGCCAATTCATTGACCAGCCCACTCAACTGGATGTCGAGCTGATTTCCTCGTTTTAAAATGAAGAGAATTCTGAACTCAGAGGTCATAAATCAGATGGTATATAAAAATGACTGGCACAGTACCTGGTACCCAGTCACCACCAAACCTATGCACCAGTTTTAGAATGCATTCTAGAAACGCGTGACTCACACGGGAAACCTGAAGCTGCGATGTAGGTTTAATTGAAGTTGTATAGTTGAAAAGTAAAAATCTTATTTTCTTTTTGACATTTTCTACATTAATACTTTGATATAGGAATAATTAATTCCTTTGAATCAGGGATTAACATTATAAGAAATGTAAAACGTTCCATAAATACGTGCTTGTGAAAACAAATAACTTGGAAAGTTATTGATAGTTCTTTATAAAATTCTTATATTAGATCTATTGCACAAAACCAGATTTTCTAAACTAATCTTTTTCAGAAAGAGGTATATGTAGGAGTATAAATAGCGGCATTACTGAGGCTACCACTCTGTATTATTTTTCTCTTCTCACTGATAGCATTGGTAGGCTGCTTTAACTGGGTTGTTAGTATAACTTCTAAGTCCTTTCCAGAAAATTTTGTATTCTGAATAGGCTGCAGATGAGTAATGAATAAAACTCATTTATGTGCTTGTGGACTGAAATCAAGTATGATATTAAACAGATATGTAGTTTGAAATTGGGGTCACGGTATTCTAATGGAATTGGGAGCTACACTAAAAGAAGTGGACTCCAGACTATGGTTCATTGGGCTACAGGAAGAAAACTTTATAATTTCTGTGTTTGATTTACTTTTTATATCCTCCTTTAAATTTTTTTTGTTTTTCTATCTTTTGTTTTCCATGTGTTTAAATGTATATAAAATAGAAGCAGTATTTGCATTGAATCAGTATTGGTATTCATAATCAATTCTTTATTTTTACTAATAGGGGTTTTCCACCAAAATTTTGGAGAGCACTGATCTAGGCCAGTGGATTTCAAAGTTACGTTGCTGCTACCTATGGAAAGAGATACATTTTACATCAAGAGCTATAAACATATAAAATGTACACACGCATGTAATTGAAAACCCTTTCACAAAATAATACTTTCCTACTATATGTGATGCACTAATATTTTCAGTTTTAATCTATTTCAGATGCATTTGAGCCATCCCAAACACTTAAAAATCAACCCTGTCTTGAAGGACTTTCAGAAGGAATACCCTAACTTCCCTTGGGAGCCCCCTTCGTGTTTAGTCATTTCAAATATCAGAACCTCTTGTTTCTGACATAACTCATGTCTTACGCTGCAGAAAAAAAAAAAACTTAATTAGACTAGATTTGAACAAAGTAGAAAAAATGAAGTCATCCATTCATTTTTCTAAACCAGTCAGTTTTAAAATTCAGGAAAACATAAATTTTTGATACATCTTAACAGAAAGCACATTTCAGATACACATTTCATTTTCAGGAATGCCATCACTAAAGCCAGATAACATGGATACTCTAGGGATACCACAGTATCCATGTTATCCCAGCCTAGTCACACCTGAGTGAGGGGCTGCTACCTCCCCTGATGCAGTGTCCGGAAGACCCCTACCTCCCTGCACTCCCATCCCCACACCCCCAGCCCCCCACCCCCAGCCAGGACAGGACAACTTTATTATTAGAACAGTAACCTTTAAGGTAACATAGTTACAAATACCTAAACAGCCTCAGTTGAGAGTGACTTCTAACTGTTTACTTCTCCACCGTGTTATAATTTCTAAGCAAATTTCCTGTGTGTCTTTAGATGGGCATCAGAAGTACAATAGTTAATGCTTGCAGCTTTGCTTCGGAGCGTTCTTTTTTCTGCCATGCTGATTGGTTTTTGTTTTTTTTTTTTTGAGAAGGAGTTTTGCTCTGTCGCCCAGGCGGGAGTGCAGTGGCCTGATCTTGGCTCACTGCAAGCTCCGCCTCCCGGGCTCACGCCATTCTCCTGCTTCAGCCTCCTGAGTAGCTGGGACTACAGGCGCCCGCCACCACACCCGACTAATTTTGTTTTTGTATTTTTAGTAGAGATGGCGTTTCACCGTGTTAGCCAGGATGGTCTCGATCTCCTGACCTAGTGATCCGCCCGCCTCAGCCTCCCAAAGTGCTGGGATTACAGGCATGAGCCACCGTGCCCGGCCCATGCTGATTGTTGTAAGGGAAATGCTGAGTTTGTCTTGGAGGTTGTTTTTGGACCTACAGCAAGATGCACTCATTAGCTAACTTGTTCTTCAAATTAGATCACTATGGTAGAAATAGTACTGAACTATAAGTCGTGAGGCTAATCCTGACTCTACCCCAACTTAACCTGGTTATTTTGGTCACGTTACTTTCTAGCTACTGGATACTAGGGCAGGCCTTTTGCGTACATTACCATATATAAGCCTCACAGTGATTCTCTGTGGTTGATACTAATAATCTCCTTCTGCAGATGAGGAAACTAAGGCTCTCAGAAGCTAAATGTAAACATAGGTCTGCCTGACTGTAAAGTTCATTTTCCCTCTCCACCTTTTATTCACAAAACCTCTTTCATGTCTAGGACTTCTTCCACCTCAAAGATGTTATGATCCTTGTCTGCTGGCCCCTAAACCAAGTCTTACTATTTACTGAATCCATGAAATTGGTCAGACTCAGCATGAAAAAATACAATCAAATCAGTACGTGGAGACAGTGCCTCCTAATGGCTCTGCAAGACACACTAGCATCTCAGCCTCTCTGCAGTACCTTTAGATTGATGTTTATCAAACTGTGTTCTGTGGAACCGTGGGGAGGGGTTGTCCATAAAGCATATCAAGGATTATTTTACAACAAAAAAGGTGGGAGGATCACAAGGTCAAGAAATCGAGACCATCCTGGCCAACATGGTGAAACCCCGTCTCTACTGAAAATACAGAAAAATTAGCTGGGCATGGTGGCGTGCACCTGTAGTCCCAGCTACTCAGGAGGCTGAGGCAGAAGAATTACTTGAACCCGGGAGGTGGAGGTTGCAGTGAGCCAAGATTGAGCCACTGCACTCCAGCCTGGTGACAGATCGAGACTCTGTCTAAAAAAAAAAAAATGTGGTCAATGACAGCAGGCATAAGTTTTTTCTGTTTTAGTAATTGAGACTTCCATATCAATACTTTATCAAGGGAACAACAGGCAAAAATAGGGGCTTCTGTAGTCTTCAAGTCATAGCAGAAATTTTGATTAAAATGGTTTTGGTTTCTTAATACTATATATTTTTGTAGAATAAAAGAACTGTACATGTTGTATTGTGAGTTAAAATAACCTAACTGCAAAATGACAAAGACCAAATTTTAATTGATCTCTGTTATTAACATAGAGGGAAACTAGTTTATTAATATTAAAATACTGTGTTATGGTGTAGAAAAGTAGGACCTAAAATAATAGAGCATAGAAGTAAAAGTATTTGGGACACTTTGCCTTCAAAAACAATTCAAAGCATTTTGTTTTATTTTGTTTTTGATTTGTTACTCCCTATTTTAATTTGAACATGCTCGTTTCAGTTAGAGACTGTTTACTTTCTCTTCATTTCAACAAAATCAGTGATCTTGGTGAGTTTTTATTGTTCATATATAACTAAGCAAGTAGTAAAAGATGTTGGTTTCAGAGGGAGTAAGACCTCTTGTTGGATGAAATGCCACCATCATCATCACAATTTATTTATCTAATATCTCTTGTTGGATGAAATACCACCACCATCATCACACTTTATTTGCCTAATATACCACTTTAGAAGGTACTGTTTCAAGAATTGGGTGTTGTTCTCGGTTGTACACAGCTTCTGTAGCTATCATCATATCAATAGAAGGAGTAATTACCTATAAAGTATGCTTAACTGTACACTCATGCTAAGTATAGCATACTGGGTATAAATCAACAACAGCTAACTTCAAACTTTATTTTCCAAAGCAAACGTCTAGGCTGTAATTTTGCCATTCTTCCTTCTGATCCAAAAATAAAAATAAATCAAGCTGTAAAGCTGATAATGAGATTTGCAACCAGCTAAGATATAATCTAAATCATAAGGAGGTTTAAAAGTCCTATTGTTCATTTTCCACTATGCGAATGATTTAGAAAACCCGGGTTCAGAGACAAGGAAGACCACTTTGCCATTTAAATAAGGGACTGGCACGGGTAGCTTCTGTGTTTCATGATCCACGTCCCCAAGTAATATATGATGTGTTTATAGGAATGTTAAAGGAACACTGAAGATTATGGAAGCGTTTTTGGGGATAATAACACTTAACAGGAATATACTGTTTACCAGTGAGACTGAAATGAGGCTGAAGTAAGTAATAAGCATTTCAGAAAATTACCCAATTACATATTTAACCACTCCAAGGCATTTTACAAAATTGCTTTTAATTGTGAATTGTGTGTTTGCAAAGGAACCTGGTGTGGTAGTAGGAGGCATATTTGTCAGAGCTCAGCAATGGAATCTTTTTTTTAAAGGAGTTTGAATACAAGAGAAAACATTTGCAGTTGCTTTTCTGATGCCAATAAAATATGTGTTTAAGACTGCTTGGCATACTATTCTAGAAAAGACTACAGAGCTATTTTGATGCCTGAGGGATTTAATACCAAGTACTTTGAATTGAAAGCATTTAGCTATTGTTTTAATACACTTTCCTTCTGAGACTACAGCTACATTGTAGGGAGATAGATTTCTAAATTGCAAATATTAATTATTCATATTACAGAAAACACCCTAATAAGTTTCCTGTTTTTATTTCACATAGAAATGCACAATTAAATTACTGAATTCTTAAAACTTGTATCAATAGCTTAAAATAATTTTCCCTTAACTTGGAAGTAGAGCTTAATTTTCATTAAAAATGGTGCATCTGGTCACATTTTGAGAAATATATGGAACTGTGGCATCCTGTTGAATGATATAATTTGTATCCTCTAAGTAAAAACAAAGACGGTTGCATAGGCCTCTACAATTTATAAAGTGTGTCCTTAAAATGTCAGATAAAGCAAATCCAAGCATCCTGTCCATTTTATAGGCAGTATCTACTACACTGCAGGCTCTGCGTCACAGGGAGAAGCAACGGTTTGCAGAATAGATAAGCTTCTTCCCCTCAAGGAGCTTGCAATTCAGTGGGGGTTTCAGATATTTATGAAAAACCATGCAGCTATATAATTACAGATTAGATAAGAGATGGAAGAAACGGAGGAAGTGAGGCAGGACAGGGGAAGAAAGGAACAACTTGAGGTAAAACCTTGAGACAGGAGAGAGCAAAGCATGTCTGTAGCATGGAGAGACCAGAGTGGCTGGAGGAGAGTGAAAGAGACCAGCAAATGGGCAGGGCCCAGCAAGCCCACCCTGGAGGATGCAGTCCTGGAAGTCAGATGCTGGAAGCTTCATATAAGAGAAGTGGCATGATCAGATCTGCATTTTTAAAAGAATACTCCTGCTGGAGGGAGGAAAATGGTTGCAAAGGGGCAAGAGGAGAGGTGAAAGACCAAATTCAGTGGGACTCGTGATGGGCCTCGTGTGGAGGAAGGGCAGGCAGGCGTTGAAGGTAATGCTTAGGTTTCTCGATTCAGCTCAGGACGGGTAGGTCTTCAGCTTGTAGCTCACAAATGCTCGTGAGTGGTATCATGGAATCCATGACAAAAATTTAACTTTCAATCAATTTAATATGGGTGATATTGCACTTTGCACGTTGTGGGGGGGAAAGGGGCTGGTGAGTGTGCTGTTGAAGTTCTGTAAATGACCCTTGCTGAATGTGCCTCAGCCTTAAACTCTCAACTCACAGCAACGGGCAGTGCAAGAAACAGAGACAGAAACAGATGCACAATCTCCTCTTACAACGTGGTCGCTGAGGAAATCACCCACTAACACTGCTCCGCTCTTCGTCAACTCCTGCAAGATGTTCCCCTCTGCACTAAGGCTCATCTGGTTGACAGGAACAGAACCAACTAAAGCTAATATAAGAAGAGAGGAGGGGGTTACTATCAAGGATGGGGGTGTCTCCTGTTTCCCAGGGACAGGGGTGGGTCTCGGGGGCAACAGAACCATTGGTCCAAAGACCCCTTCTTTGTCTCCATGCATCTACATCACCTGTCAATCTGCCTGCTTCTTTCAGCCTTTGCTTCTCCAATTCCGGCAGGAACGTGCCAACTCACGGCTCACAAGCTTACAGAGAGTCGCACGATTTGGGCAAATGATTTGTGCGATTCAAAGACATTTGCGTGATTCAAACTTCAGTCCAGGAAAAATATTAGTTCTCCTGAATGACACATAAGTTTTCTATGCTATAGGTAATACAACGGTTACAGAGTACAATGTTGACTCTCCTTAGGCCACTAGGAAGGTCAGGACTTATCTTAAGAAACTGTCATCTATTCTGGGTTTTATTTCTATATGCTCTCTTTATCTTTTGTCCTCAGTAGTCTCTCAGTATTTCATGTTCTCTCCATTTTTTGTCTACTTAAATGTTATTGGTATACATTTGTATAATTGTCTCAGATCCTTTCTAGAATGTTACAGGAAAGGAAAGATAATTGAAAACTTCAACTTGAAAATGGCAATAGAATTTCTTGGTGCCAGTATATTTGAGAGCAATGGTGGCCTAGAATGTAGCAATTATGCATCAAGAATATAACAGTATAAAACTTATTATGTGTAGAATTTTATTCCTTTTCCTTAGGCATTTCATAGCTCTATAGTACACTGAATGCATTGTGTGCCAAACTTCACATGTGGCCACCGGTTTTTGTAGTTATTTAAATCTAAATTTATATAGATTATATGAAATTAAATTTCAGTTTCTCATGATTACAAAACAATGTAAATACGTTCAGTGGATACAATATTAGTTCAGGCATAGAGTATTTCCACCGTCATAGAAATGTCCATTGCACAGCCTGACATCAAGTAGTCTTTAATTTGTTCATTAATAGCTTGAAAGTAACTTCTGCATTAAAAGACCCTGACTTAACCCTTCTGGGTCTTTTTCAATCACGTTTCTAGTGCATCTGTCTTTTTGGTTTGCTTTCTGTTCTAACTTGGTCACTATTAGCATTCAGACTTTATTCTACTCCTGAATCTACAAGAACCTCAAAATTCCTCATTGTCAGGTTCTCCCACTGCTGTCCATTCGCTCACTGTCTTATGCTAATTGAGATTCCATTTTTACCACAACAGTGTTCTGGTCCAGCCTACTGTGGCTTCGTATTTTTTCTTACTGTTGCCTCACATCAGCCTAGTTTTCTTTCTTGGCTACCTAAATTCCTCTCATTAACTCCCAGAGCACGACTTCATGTGTGCCTGTTGTTTTTTCAGCCCTCACCCGTAGGAATTCTGTCCCGTCTATGCCAACTGGAGAATGCCTGAACTGCCTGCCCACTCTCGCTCTGTAGCTCCAGATATGTCCTGTCCTCCACCAACCCAGACCTCCCTAGGCCAAATGTCCTGTCCTCCAAGGTGCTCATGTCCTGTTCCATTCTGGAATCACTACCTAATTACCAGATACAAATTGTTCTTGATAAATCCACTTAAATTATAACCATTTTGGGAAAAACCTTCAAATCTTGTTCTTCCTTGGGATTCCGTTTTTCCCAGTGCCAACCTCCTCAGGAAATGTCACTTCATGAGTGTGTACTTGATAGAATTCCTAAGGTGATACAAGCCTTGGACTGAAGTTGGTACCTCTGTTTTCTGATTATAGCTCTGCTTCTAGCTCTCTATGTATGATTGGCCTTTCCTTTAACATTTCAGAATGGTTTTCTTACTTGGAAGCCAGGAGATTGGGCTGGTCAGATGCTGATGCTTACAGTTCTGTATTTTTATAAAGTCAGTCTTTAATCTATTTCTTGGGTCCCATTATATATCTTGATATTATCAGATACTACCTATTTCTGACTGTAACTTGTGCATCTGGTAAATCTGATGATTGTCATTTGTCATGTGAGCATTTGCAACCATTGGCCGAGGTCTCCTGTTACATTGTACCATGTGGCACAAAGGCATACATGCACATATTGATCCATGCATTTGTCTATCCATCCATTCATCCATCATCCATCCATCCATCCACTGCACACCGTAGCTCGGCCACAGTGCTAGTCATAGAAATACAAAGCAAAAAGACGTACTTTTTACTTTCAAAGAGCAGCCCGTCTTATCTGGAGAAAGACACAAAAATATGACAATAAAGAATTGATTTATTCAAGGCAAGTACCTACTATGTTTTGTTGCAACACAATGGTTCACCATGTCACTTATTAACTGGCCATAATACCTTAGGACTGGGACATTAATTTTCAGTAATTCTCTAGAACATCTGTTTAAACCATAAAATTTCTCTGGGTAGGATTTGGCCTCTATTTTACGGCAGTCTGCCATTCTGAAGTGATTGCTGAATACTCAAAGCATGGCATAGTGAAAAACACTCTATTGATTGTGGCCAGCGAAGTTGCATTGTATTGAAATATGTGCTGCCTCACTGAAGTCTTGACTCATTCATGCCATTGATAACAGTTTAGATATGTGCGGGTGTAGGCTGAAAACGCACAAATATTAGGGAACATCAGCAACACTTGATTATTTATGCTCTTAGAGGACTTATGCTCATGATTCTTTTGCATTGAGCTTTAATTATGCGGAACTGAAGGTTCTGATGTTGCAGGACTTTTCCTTAGTTCAGCCATGGACGGGGTTCTGTGTCCCACGACCACAAAAATTCAGGCTTGCAAGACAATTTAAAGGGTGGGTAAGACAGGGTTTTATTAGGTGAAAAGGAAGAAAAGGGGGAAACAGGGACTCTCGCTAGGCCAGAGTCCCTGCTAGACGGCTTCCGGCGCTCAGCCTGAATCTCGGGTTCCACACAGGAGGAGGAGGGGCCAGGCTCCTCCCCACTGCAGAGGGCAGGCTGGTTGGAGTTTCTCCAGGGACCCCCTCCCACCTGGCTGTCCCACTAGAACTGAAATTGAGGCTTGAAAAAAAGGGTCTTTTCCATCTTTAAAGGTGTTGTTTTACTTATATGTAATACATCATTTTCATTAAAATAAAAATGTAAAAGTCCAATTCCAGGACGCAGATACCCGTGTGGGTGTCGTTGAGTTGCGCTGTGGCTGTGGTGGGCAGTTAGAAAATTGATGTGACTCAGTCTGACATCGTGGCATTGTTTTCAAATTCAGCTCAGTCTTACAATGTTCCCAGTTAAAGTGTGAGTGACACTAACTAATTAAATTGAGGAAAAGGGTATTCATAAAGTGGACGATATAAATAGAAAATAAAGTTAGCAATTGACATTGTGACCACCGGATTTTTTTTTTTTTTAAGAACGAGCTGTGTGGTAAAAGGGTATATTTAGAGACAAGAAAGATAAAAGGCCATTTGATTGAGAAGTATTATTTGTGGTTCAATCGGTTGCATTTAGGCTGCTATGCCTCGTTCACTGAAAGTATAAACATCCTTCAGTTGTATCACAAAGCTTCTTTTACCTCAGTGAGCTATCAGTATGTCAGCTCATTGGTCAGACTTCAGAAAACTGAACCCAGTTTTATGTTCAGGTGTACATATTTCTAAATCTGGGGAACCCTAAAACCCACTTGAAACACCAGATATATACTCTGCAATGTGGTGACCATTGGCTGTACAACCTGTGACAGAAATAAGGTTGTGGAAGCCAGACAATGGGAAAACTGCGTGGAAGGATCTAGCAATTAAGTGAAATGTATGTGAGTCAGTGAATAGAAAAAGGTAATTGAAATGTAATCTATGTTAGTGACATTGACAGTATATAGAATAAAAAAGAAGTTGGAAATGGCTGCCACTCTGATAGGTGCCGAAAATCTGTCATGCCATTCAGCTTTATTGGAATGATTAACATCTTAGAAATACTAGAAATACTGAAGACACAAAGAATCCTGGTTTTTACAAGTCAAAATGGGACATAATTGTTCCATTAGTCTTTCATTTTTAATGGCTTTTTGGTACTTTCTGAAGCATTCAGAAAAACACCTTTAAATTTACAGTGACTGGCCAACCTTTCCAATCCAATGCATTCTACCAACTGACCTAGGAAGCCCCTAGATCCTAGTTACTGAGGGGGAAGATGCAGGCGTGCCATGAACTCATACATTAAAATGCTTGCCATCCTGATTACACAACTTGAAGGAATTTTGATGTCTTTGAAATGAGAGATTATCTCTTGTTTTAATTTTGTTTTTTTTTTTTTTAAACAGTCTCACTCTGTCGCCAGGCTGGAATGCAGTGGTGCAATCTCAGCTCACTGCAACCTCTGCCTCTGGAGTTCAAGCTATTCTCCTGCCTCAGCCTCCTGAGTAGCTGGGACTACAGGTGCCCACCACCACGCCTGGCTAATTTGTGTATTTTTAGTAGAGACGGGGTTTCACCATCTTGGCCAGGCTGGTCTTGAACTCCTGGCCTCGTGATCCACCTGCCTCGGCCTCCCAAAGTGCTAGGATTACAGGCATGAGCCACTGCGCCCGGCCTGAAATGAGAGATTTTCAAAACAAAAGAGGTTAAGATGTGTTTGTGTGGTATAGGACGGAAGAGACAGGTTGTATACTCAGACAGACCTGAGACTGAATTTCAAGTCTCTTCAGCTTTGTGACTTCAGGCCAGTCCTTTTATTTCTCTGAGCTTTGACTTCCTGATCTATCATCTTTAAGTGGGCCTGTGTTAATTAAATGGCTAATGTTGGTTTATATTGTTTTTAACAGCTTTATTGACATACAAGAGGCCCATATTTAAAATGTACCATTTGATAAGTTTTACACACGTATATGCCAGTAAAACAATCAATGTAAGGAACATAGCCATTGACCCCTCCCATGTGTCCCTGCCAAGCAATTATTTATTTGTTTACATTTTCTAGAATTGTATATAAATGCTACCGTAGAGTATGTACTCTCTTTTTGTAGGATTTCTTTGATACAGCAAAATTATTTTGAAATTTATCATTGTTGTGTATAAGAAAAGTTTACTCCTTTCTACTGCTGAATTGTGTATATTTTATGTATACAACCACAATTTGCTTATCCTTTCCACTGCTGATGAATGCTGGGCTTGTTTCCAGTTGCCAGGCATTACCAACAAGCATCTATGAAATTTTATGCAAGTCTTTGTACATGTAGATATGTTTCTTTTTATCTTGTGTAAATACCTAGAAGTGGGGTGACTAAATCATATTTTAGAGTTTCTTTTTAAGGAACTGCCAAACTACTTTCCGTGGTGGTTGTACCATTTCCATTTTACATGCCCACCCAGAATGTACGAGAGTTCTAGTTGCTCCAGTTCCTACTCAACACTTGGTATCATCAATCTTTTAAGTTTTCACATTCCATTAAGTGTGTAGTGGTGTCTCACTATGGAATTATGTTGCATTTCCTAATGACTAATGATGTTAAATATATATATATATATTTAACTGTATATATATATACATATATATACAGAGAGAGAGATGTGTGTGTGTGTGTGTGTGTGTGTGTGTGTGTGTATATATATATACACAGAGAGAGAGAGAGAGAGAGAGAGAGAGAGAGAGAGAGATGGAGTTTTGCTCTATTGCCCAGGCTGGAGTGCAATGGTGCGATCTCAGCAAACTGCAACCTCTGCATCCCGGGTTCAAGCGATTCTCTTGCCTCAGCCCCCCGAGTAGCTGGGATTACAGGCACACGCCACCATGCCCAGCTAATTTTTGTATTTTTAGTAGAGATGGGATTTTGCCATGTTGGTCAGGCTGGTCTTGAACACCTGACCTCAGGTGATCCACCCACCTCAGCCTCCCAAAGTGCTGGGATTACAGGCATAAGCCACTGCGCCTGGCCTGACTATCTTTTTATGTGTTTATTTGCCATTCTCTTACTTTCTTTGGTGAAGTGCCTGTTAAAATCTTTTGCACATATTTTATTATTATTTTTATGGTGACACGGAGTCTCTGTCGTTCAGGCTGGAGTGCAGTGGTTGCTCATATTTTAAAATATGAGTTGCATTCTTACTATAAAAATGTAAGAATTCTTTATATATTCTACATGCAAGTATTTTATCAGATGTATGATTTGCAAATGTTTTCTCTCTGTGTGTGGCTTATTATTTCATTTTCTTAACAGTGTCTTTCAAAGAGCAGAAGTTTTTAATTTCAGTTAAATCCAATTTGCCAGCTTGTTCTTTTATGGATTGTGCTTTATGTAGCATACCTAAGAAATCTTTGCCTAACAAAATGTCATGAAGGTTTTCCCCTATGTTTTCTTCTAGAAGCTTTATGTTTTATATTAAGATATCTGATCTATTTTGAATTATCTTTTGTGTATGATACAAGTTAGGAATCAAAGTTTCTTTTATATTATTGGTATTTATTTTTTTCAAACAGCATCCACTGAAGAGAGTATCCTTTTGCTACTGAACTGATCTTGCACCTTTGTTGAAAGTCAGTTGGCCATGTACTGGAGGGTCTATTTCTGTTCTCTGCGCTCTGTGTCACTGATCTATCTGGGTATCTGTATGCCAATAGCGTACTGTCTTGATTTCTGTAGATTTACATTTAGTGTTGAAATCATGAAGCATTTATCCTTTAACTTTGTTCTTCCTTTTCAAAGTTATCTTAGCTATTCTAGGTTCATGTTATTATCTTATGACTCAGAGTTTGAAGTGAGGTTGCTGGGACTTGCCTCCATATCTTTCAACCCCTAACCCAGTGGGTATTTCACTAGCCCACACAGGCCATGAATCTCTATTTAAAAAAAAGAAAGACATAAAGACAGCAAGAAAGAAAAAAGAGGAGGTAGGGGGAGAGAGAGAGAGAAGGAAAGAAGAAAAGGAAAGAAAAATCTTTTGGTCTTGTCATGTGATAAACAGTTCTAAAGAAAGAATAATTTGGGAAACAGCAATAAAAATTAAAAGCTGAGAGAAAGTGTTTTTTTTTTTTTTTTTTTTTTTTTTTTCGAGACAAGGTTTCACTCTGTCACCCTGGCTGGAGTGCAGTGGTGTGATCTCAGCTCACTGCAGCCTCCACCTCCCAGGTTCAAGCGATTCTCCCTCCTCAGCCTTCCAAATAGCTGGGATTACGGGTGTGCACGACCATGCCTGGCTGATTTTTGTACTCGTAGCAGAGACAGGGTTTCACCGTTTTGGCCACGGTGATCTCGAACTCCTGACATCAAGTAATCTGCCTGCCTTGGCCTCCCAAAGTGCTGGAGTTACAGGCATGAGCCACCGCGTCTGGCCGAGAAAGTGTTCTTAAATACAATGTTTAGTTATAGTAATTTTCATGAACTATGTGTTCTAAGTAGAAGCTACTAGCTTTTTTTTGCTGCTTTGCCTTTAATCGGACTCATTATTTTTTATTACTTTGAATCCCTCATTGATCAATTTCAACCCAGCTGATTGCTAATTGTCAATTGCTCATGAGTCCTTTTTCAAGGCTCACATTTTAATATCCTTGGCGTTTTTTCCAACACCTATTGCCCACTGTCTATTGGCAACAGAGGGCAGTAGCCACTTGTGCTGGCCTGTAGGGGAGAGTCTGTTTCCCACTCACCTGCTTGATAAGACATTCTTGATGATCTGGCTGACATGAAGACAGCCAGCCAACAGCACACGTCAACCCTGATTAACAGAATGTGAAATGAGGAAGTTCTGGATCCTCAAAGTATTGTTTTACTTCCAGTGTCTTCACGTTGAATTATCCACATTGAATTACGGATAGTGTTTGTCTACTATCCATTTTGCACTGTTTCATAATGAAAGTAATGTTATTTTCATCATTATCATCATCATAATTTCAATTCTGCTTGCCGTAGTCGAGGCACTGTTTTAAGTACATGTTTTTCCCCCCAACATATGAAAGTACCAGCAATAACCTACTACTGTCTGCTAGGAATGCAAGATATGTATTTTTCACATAATAGGAATATATATCCATAACCCTTCGATATTACTGAGTCCCTTTTGTGTTAACAGTTATCAAGTACTTTCCAACATGACAATTTCAGAACTATCTGGGAGTGATGATGTTTACTGTCATCTGAGAGGTCACCAAGCAGAGTTATGGAGATAGTGTAGGGAGGCTGCTCCCACTGTCACGTGGGTGCAGTATGTTGGGAGAGTGCGTTGTCTGTGAGAATCATTGCAGAGAGTATGGATGATAAAAAGAATCAAAACGCTTTCTGTCATGCACCTCCCCTACTGGCAAGAAGCTGGGCTTGTCTGTGGCTGCATCCTCAGCCCCTGAGAAAACTGTCACACGCTATGGGTATGCAATGTTATCAATGAACAAAGGAATAAAAAATTTAAGTTGGGTCAAGTGATCAATGACATATTGATGTGTTTGGGACTTTGTTTGCCATACTGCCTATCCTGAAAGAAACATAAGCACTTTCCCTGGTAGGTCAGCTCTCTGGATACTGGCACCCTGGGACTATTTCTCCCCCTGAGTGGGGATTCTCAAACCAGGCTCTGCCATCTTCAACATTGTTTGGGTGAAAAAGTTTGTGCTTTCCTAAGTGTCTCAGGAAAAGATTCTGTAACACACTAAAGAGGCTAAATGCCATCATCTGGCACCACGACAGTTGCATTTTTGTTTAAAATAGGAATTTGAGGATCTAAAGTATGTGAGCTAGATATGAGGAATATTGTGAATGTTAGGGATATTGAATATTCGTTTACACAATATTTGTCATCTTTGCACGGAAGTGGTGAGACCCTAAGGGAGAGGGAAGAAAAGGGATGTGAGTTGGCCCCCAGCACCTGCAGGGCCTGTGACCTGACCATGGGAGGGCTCAGCCCCCATCCCTCTGAGAGGCCGCAGGGACCCTCCAGTCTTAGCTCCCAGTTGTCTTCAATTCCGCTGTCTTCTCTACTCTCACCTGCTGCTAATCACGCACCGCAGCCTCCCACAAGCACCCACCTCATGGCCCTCGTGTCCCCACCCCTCGGACAGCCTCCGCCATGGCCCGTGCACTTCCCTGGATGCCCCGCGTGTTTTTGCTGCAGGAACTTCTCCGGAACCAGGTCGTCTCTCAAGGAAACCCCTTCCTCTGCTTGCCCCTCCCTCTCCACATCTCCTAGGCCCTCGGAGTCAAGCTGGTGTCCTCTCAGCCCACACTTTTCTCTTTGAGATCAGCACGTTCCTCCTGAGCATGGCCTGCTGTGAGCTTCAGGTCATTTGTCTCACCCGCCTACTCTTCCTCCTTGTCATGCAACATTGGGTCTGCCAGGCCTTCCCTGTAAGCTGTTGAGGCTTTCTCTCCCCTAGAAATCCTGCCTCCATTCCAGTGGCCAATCTGAACCCCACATGAATGTCCACTTTGCAGAGCTGGAGATAATTACACAACTGGGCTCACCCATTTTACTTTAAATTCCTCCGCAGATACACACTGGGCACCGTCTGGGATCGTCCTCCTCTTCTCTGGCTGCTGGATTTCCCGTGCTCCTATGCAGCTCTTCATAGCTTACCCTCTGACCTTTCCTAACCTCTCCTCTGCTCTCCCTCCCTTACTCCATGGCTGCACTGCACACATCTTTTTAAAATGTAAAATGATAAAGTAGAAACTATCAGAAGGGACCTTTCTCATTGCCTCACAACCCAGTCTCAACCTCCTTGCCATTTGCATCCTTCTCTGGCACTTGTGTTCCCATTACCAGGAGAGAATTGGCCTTGCTCCAAGCCGAGCCCCCCCGCCCCCATTGGGCTTGGGCTCCCCCACTCGGGGTTGGCTCTTGAGTCATCTGCACTCTAGGTTTCATGGGCCCTCCCTCCCTGCTTCATCTCCTACATCCTACAAACATGCTCTCCTCTCCCATGCTCAGCCAGTCAATAACTGAACAGCAAACAAAAGTCCACCCATAAACCTCTTATCCCCCTCCGCAGAATTTTTTATCCTTCTTCGTACTGCTTCTAAGAGTGGTTGCCATATGTTGTCCCCACTGACTTGCCTCCCATTCCTTCTTCTCTCTTTCCAACCTGGCTTTTTTCCCCTCCATCCCACTGGGATATTCCACTGGATAAGACAATTTAATGCCAAATGATAGTAACACTAATCCTCACTGCGTGCTTACTATGGGCTTCCAGATCTCCATGCCCTCTCTGTGTTCCTTCTCCCTCGGTGGTGGCTCCTTCTGTCTCCTTTATTAGCTTCTCCTCCCCAACCAGACTTCTCACTCCCAGACAACTATCATGCAACTCTTCATCAGCATTACTTTAATATCATTTACCTACTCATGACTTCTAAATTTATGTCTTATCTCCTGAACTCTCTGCAGAACTTCTGAATTTCATGGTAAACTGACTCCTTGAAAACTCCACTTGGATTCTCAAAGGCATCTCAAACTTAGCTTGTTTCCAAGTCGGTCTTGATTCTAACCGCACCATAACCCACACACCCTTTACACCTGTTCCTCTGACACTGTTCCTCACACAAGCGTTACCACTGCCCATACTGATGCCATTCTCTGTCCCTCCCTTCCTGATGCCCCTGATAACCCATCACCAATTTCTGTTGATTCCTGCTCCCAAAGTACCTGGAATATTTTCATTACCCTCTGTCTTTGGGCCACCACTCTAGTCCAAGCCTCTAGTATCTGTTTACTGAACTTGCGTAAAAGTCTACTAAATGATCTCTCTACTTCCTTTCTTGGATATACTACAATCCATTTGCGACACAAAAGCCAGCATGTTTTTTGTTTGTTTGTTTGAGACGGGGTCTTGCTGTGTTACCCAGGCTGGAATATAGTGGCATGATCATAGCTCACTGCAGCCTTGACCTTCCAGGCTTGAGCAGTCCTCCCACCTCAGCCTCCTGAGTATCTGGGACTACAGGTGCGCACCAATGCACCCAGCTAATTGTTATATTTTTATGCAGACGGGGTTTCCCCATATTGCCTCAGCTGGTCTTGAACTTTTGGGCTCAGGTCATTAGCCAGCCTCAGCCTCCCAAAGTGCTGGGATTACTGGCATGAGCTGCTGCACCCAACCTTGAGCGAGTTTTTTGTTTGTTTTGTTTTGTTTTTTTGTTTGTTTGAGACAGAGTCTCGCTCTGTCACCAGGCTAGAGTGCAGTGGCGCGATCTCGGCTCACTGCAGCCTCTGCCCTGAGTTCAAGCAATTCTCCTGCCTCAGCCTCTCGAGTAGCTGGGACTACAGGCACGTGCTATCACACCCAGCTAGTTTTTGTATTTTTAGTAGAGACAGGGTTTCACCACGTTGGCCAGGATGGTCTCGATCTCTTGACCTCGTGATCCACCCACCTCAGCCTCCTGAGAGGGTTTTTCAAAAATGTAAATTAAATCAGTTCCCTGTCCCAAAACGGATTCCTTAGGAAAAATACAAATTCTTCATAATATTCTCCATAATGTTCCGCAGGTTCCTTTCATATCTCTCCTTCCCTTGCCTGCCCTGTGGCAGTTGTACAGGCCTCCTCGCTAATCCTGCAGATGCTGAACCACCTTCCCGTGCAGGGCCTTTGCACCTGCTCTTCTCCAGCCAGTTCACTGCCCCTTCTCCTTCACCTGCTGTGTGCATAGCTCCTTCTCATCCTTCAAGGCTTGGCTTTGAAAAGTCCCATACCATAAGCCTGGTACCTGGTCACAGCTTCCTCTTTGTTTTCTTTATACCCCACGTAATAATTTGCGATACTTATTCATTGGTGAGTTTATTTGGTATCATCTCCCAGAAGGCAGGGATCGTGTAATCTGGCTCACAGCTGAATTCTCCATGCTTGTCACAGTGTCCTCAGCCACAGAGTAAGAGCACAACAATTATCACTTGGATTATGTAAGACAAGAATTTGGACTTTAGTATTTATGCTGCCGTAATTTTTAACTTACTTTATGATTGTGTAATTTTATGTTCTCACACACTTTTAAAGGCATCAACATATTTTACAACTTAAATATCAGTGTGAAATTTACAGGTAATCATAAATGTGTAATGTAGTACAGATTTAGTGCAAGATAACAAACCAAGCTATTATGTGAATTTCAAGAATGGGAAGGCTTTAATATTTGATAGGCGCTGAGTGTACCAAGCTATTCAGCTGGCTGATAGAATTATGATTGATAGGAAATGTGAAGGAAGAATCATTCCTGGCTTTCTACTTGGAGGAAACCAAACAGACGATGTTCTACACACAGAGAGAGATTTATTCATCTTGTCCTTGTAGATGTTGACCAAGATAGGAGAATTATGAAATTTGGGCAAAAAGGTAGACCTGAGTAAATGACAGGTATTCTAAATCTACATGTTTTACATTGTTTGTTAATTGGTTCTACTGAACTTTTTTTTACTCATTCTACCAGTATGTATTATTTATGATATTAATGGCTCATCACCAATGAAGTGAAAGAAAATGTATATGATATTTAGGGAGAACCACAGTTAATGTTCAACCAAATTTCAAATAAAAGTCCATCAGTTTTTACATATTTTCTTTCTATTCCACATTGCTATTTCTCTGACTAGTGAAATATATTGCATTCCTTTTCGATGACTAATACAATTATATATTTGTTGTACCTAGAGCCTTATCTGCTTGCTCTATGATGGTCATACCAGACTTATTGATTCATCTATTAAATCAATTCCGTGGACAGAATTTTTAATACTTTTTTTTTTTTTTTTGAGACAAGAGTTTCACACTTGTTGCCCAGGCTGGAGTGCAGTGGTGTGATCTCGGCTCACTGCAACCTCTGCCTCCTGGGTTCAAGCAATTCTCCTGCCTCAGCCTCCCTAGTAGCTGGGATTACAGGCATGTGCCACCATGCCTGTCTACTTTTGTACTTTTAGTAGAGACGGGTTTTCACCATGTTGGTCAGGCCGGTCTCAACCTCCTGATCTCAAGTGATCCACCCGCCTCGGCCTCCCCAAGTGCTGGGATTACAAGTATGAGCCACCACACCTGGCCAATACTGACTTAAAATATTTATTCACTTATGGATTTGTCAGGAAGAAAAAAACATGCCATGATGCCTCATTTATAGCTATTTGAGATCACCAGCCCTTCCAACACATTAGTTTCAACAATTATTCAGAAATAGATGTCAATTAGAAGTTCCAGCAGAAAGTGTGGAAAGAAATTTCCCTTGGGAATAAGTGTTTTATTTGGTAGTGTTGCTAAGTCAATTAAATTACAGCCTATATTTTGCCAAGATGTAAAAATCTCAACATATCTATGTAAAAAGAAAAAAGAATGGGTTTACAGGCCTTGCAAGTTAGGAGGCAAAACAATTTTGTACTAATTTATATATGTGTGTGTGTGTGTGTGTGTGTGTATATATATATATATATATATGTCCTATGTGTGCTATATCCATTAATATCCTATGAATTGAAAATATCCAGTCAAGTGGTATTGCTTCAACTGGGCTATTCCTATATAAAGGAGTTAGTTCTCATAACAAACGCAATGCAAACACAGAGGACTATAAAATCAGCATTTTAGACAAATGTGGAAATGGTAGGCTTTTACAAAGGATAAAATCTGTTGAGTTTTTGTTGTTTTTTAAAGTACTCTGACTGTCACTTCTTGTAGGTGAGAGGTGCAGGGTGAATGTGGGTGGGGAGCAACGGAGTACAAGGAGAATTTATGGCTCCAACTACACAAGTTTGTCAAGTGACAGAGCCTCGCCAGGGGAGTCCTGATGTGCCCCATGTCAGCCCCGAGGCCGAGGGATTACAGAGCCTTTCCCCTCCTCCCCACTACAGCTTCCCCAGCTCATTACAGCTTCTCAGAGGGGTTTGCAGTGTACCATGGGGCTACAGGAAAGGATATTTTTCTTTTTCCCTCTTAATGATAAGAGGTACAGGTGAAGAGAGCCAGCAAAACCCAGGGCCCTTGATAAAACTTAAATTGCTGGAGTTGAAGACTTTGTGAAAATTTAATGCATTAAAATCTGTACCAGGAATCACTTCTGCATAGAAATTGATCCTGCAAATTACTTTCCTTCCTCCATAAAAGCACTAAAATGATGTATAACTTAACAGATACAGATGATGCATAATTATAGATTTATATGTAAGGTATACGATTATACACATACATGTGTATGTGCGTACATATGCACATATATGCATGCATGTATATATATGTACTCAGCACTTTGCTCGTTGCTCTGTGGCTTACAAAGATAGATGTGACACAGCTTCTCCCTTCCAAGATGTTACAGTCTTGTCAGAGAAATAGGCGAAGCTGCGCCCCTCTAGGTCCCAGTAGACATTGCTAACTGGGGTAGACCCGGAGGGGGTTAGCAACACAAGAAGCTTAGGCGTACCTGCTTGCCCGCCTCCCGGCCCTGAATCCTTACTATAGAGAGTCATCTGTTCACCAAGTACAAGGACCCCCTCCCCTTGGTTTTGCCAACCTTCCATCTCTCCCAGCCCTTCGAAATGTTTCCCAGCTGCCCCCTGGCGGCGGGTTGGTTTGTTTTGTTTCGCTTTGTCTGGTCTTTTCATGCGTTGTGGAATACACATGACAGGCAAGGGAATTTCTCCTTTAAGCTTTTGACTAACAGGTAACTGTAGCAAAGCAGCTATCCCCTCTTGCTCTGCTTAAATGTTTGAAAGGAGACTTTCAATTCTCAACAGCTAAAGCATAAGGGAAATTCTCTTAGAGGTTTGGAACCCCAAAGAAGCAGTGGGGTATGGCTCTCCATACACTCCCCGCGTCTTCCCAAGTGCCCCTTCTCACTGTTGTCTCACTAAAGGCACCTGCAGAAAATAACTGACTCTTAATGAATGCCTTTGTCAGTGACCCGACAAGTGCCCCTTGCCTGGACCAAGATGAGAAAGCCAGTGTTACTTCCAGGAACCCCATTTCCATGGACTGATGGAATCTGCCCCTGATTCTGCTGTCGGAGGCGAACCAGACCCTATAGAAGGAGGAGGTGATTTTCTGAGCCAAAATCAAAGCGCGGGTGGGAGTTCTGCCAATATTTTCTTTAGATTAGTTTCATGCTTTCTACTCTGGGAGCTTAGGGCAGTTTATAGTCTGAGTTTCATTTTTAGGTACACATTTGTGGTACACAGACAAAAAAAAAACGTAAGAGAGTGATTCGGGATCAGCAAAAAGGAGAAAGAAAAAAAAAAGACGTGTCTCCTTCACTCACCTGATAAATCTTTTATATTTACTGACATTTTTGAATAAGTACATTGTGCCCATCACTAAATGTATAATATTTCTTTCATTGTGCATGCATGGGTTGTAGAAGCATCCTCAAAGCTGAGAAAAACGTATGCAGCGATGTCCCAATTCTGTTGTAAAAAAGGACTGTCACACAGAAGTCTGAGCTGGAGTTGCAGAGAAGCACCAAGCTACTTCCTTTCTAATGCTGGGTTATGCCTAGTGAAGCCAAGATCTCAAAGCTGTGTAATACACCTGACTCAAATGCCACCGAAAGACAAGAGCAATAAATCCCAAAAATAAATCCACATAATCCACCTCATTTAGGTTATATTTTCTCCTTATAGTAGTTAAAGATGGCGATGTTCATCACTTTCAAGAAAACCATGGAACTCACATTAAGATACGTTTGTTAACTACGTGCTCATAGGAGTCATTGGAGAATTCTACCAAATTCCATTAAATTCTGGTACTCTGCTCAGTAAATAGCCACGAAAACACCAAGGTGCTTAGAGCAAATCCTCAATCCCCTGCTAACACCTTATATTACAACCGTCTAATTACCATGTTTTGCAGTAACCTTGTGGGACTTCCACAAGTAATTAGAACTCCAGAGCTTTTCTGCAGTAATCCGGTAAGGACCTCTTAACTACAAATGATTATGCACTGCTAATATTGTCGTGCCCACGTGTTTTCTACAGTTAATTGTTTCAATTAATATTTGGCTGCACTACAGAATTTCATGCAGTTTCTTATACTATGACAGTTCATGAGTCAACTCTGAAGTCAATACATTTCCTTCATCTCATCCTCTCTCTCTCTTTCTCTGCAATTTGTTTAAAATAATCAGTTTTCTGATGAGAAAAAAAAAAAAGAGAAACATATCACTTCCATTACCTTGGTTTATGTGAATTCAGGACAATTTCTCTTTAGTTTCTCTTTAGGCAAGTAGGTTGATATCTAAAGTGATTATAATTTTCATTACCCTGTCACAGAAATCTCCAAAGAGAGGAAGGAGGCATTGATGACAATTTCTCCTTGGCATGGTTTTTAAAACTCCATTCCAAGCAATAGGTTATATTATAGGACAGGGGCCTTGTTTTTTAAATTTTCAGTCTTCAAAGACCAGCACATAATACATGCTCAATAAATGCCCGTTGACTCAACAAGCATTTGTATTCTGCCAGTGCTTTACAGACCGCAGTCTCTCAGCCAATGCTTATGAATGCTTGAAAATCAATCGAAAACGTTTCTACAATAAGATGATCATGAGCTGATATCTCAACAGATAATTGGGCATTTATAATTATAATTATATTTGTGGATAAGATCTTTGCTAGGGTAGTCACATGACAGCTTCAGTATTATACATACATACATAGATATATAGATATAGATATATACGTAGATATATAGATACATACATATAGATATATACATATATAGACATATACATAGATATATATGTCTGTGCATATCTAGATTCTAGATATAGACATATATATCTATATAGATATATATGTGCATATCTAGAATCTAGATATAGACATATATATCTATATATACATATATACATATACCTATATAGATATATCTATAGATATACATATATATCTATATAGATATATACATATATACATATATGTGTATATATCTATGTATGTGTGTGTATAATGTGTGTGTGTATATATATATATATAAATATATATATATAAAAAAATAGATAAATGTACCTTACCCAACTATTACAGCTTTTTTTGTTTTCTGGGTTGATTTTTCTCCGTTCTTGTTGACTTGTCTTTTTTTGTATGTGTCTGTTTGAGCATTAGGCTTGGGGATAACAGCTGGGGGGATTCTGGACTTAGACCCAGCCAATTAGCCCCTACTTATAAAATAAGAGTTTGCCTCTTTAGCCCAGGGTCTCCATCTGCGGATAGTCCCCCACAGCTGGGTCTCTGGGAAGTCTTACTCAATTTTCAGTTCCATCTTGAAGAACACCTACAAAAGCTCTTCATCAGAGCACACACAGAAGGCAGTGTGGCACAATGAAAAGGTCCTGGGTTTTGGCAACAGAGAGACTTGTATTTACATCTTAGTTTCACTTTAGGAAATTACTCGGGCACCCAGGCCCTTATTTCATTAGTGCAAGGGGGATAATTTTGCCTAATTCATGGAGAGACTTGTGCTGTACCCACAAACCTGCCTGGATCATAGGAGGTTCCTAACGAATGTGAGCATTTTGTTTTGGCATTTCAGCCCTGAAAATGCCACGATGAGGCCTCGTCTCCCCTCCTGGCCACAGGCCCCCACAGAGAGCTGTCACCCAGGATCCTCTGAGCAAGCTCTCAGGCACAGACACAAGAAAGTCTGCAAAATAATCTGTTCTTAGCTTCATCATATTACAGTCCTAATTGAATACACACCAGGCTGCAACAATCATGCTTTGTGTCTAATTGACTGGAAAATACTGGTCACTTGTTCTTCCAGTCGGGCTGTTAGAGACATCAGACATTTGCTCAGCTTTGATCCCACCTGGAATCCTCCCCTTGCCGTCTGCCTTCCCAGGGTCTCCTCTCTTATCTGGAAAGTCTACTGGATTTCAGATCCTCCTTTTCCTATATTCTAGCCTTTAAATAGGGTGTTAATTGTTTGCTGTCCTTAGGGGTCAACTGGAGAGTATACAAACTGCCTACAAGATATTCACGTTCCAACAGCAAGAGAAAGCATGCATCCTGACCCCAGGTTGCTTGGTGCCCCTGGTCGCAGGTGTGGCATGCTTGCTCTTGGCCATAAAGCTGAACACTTTGTATCCTGCTTTTCTTCTTGCATCTCTCCTTGTCGCCTGGTTAGGTCAGCATCCTCTGAAAAGACTCCCTTTCCATGACCCCATGACTCCTGGGTTCCCCTGTTAGGAAATGCTTTCAGCCTTGCTCAGAACTACTCCAAGGCTCTGGCAAGGCCACCACCTCCAGGAAGCCTGCCCTGACTTCACCTGTCCACACTGAGGGCCCCCTCTGGAAACATGTACAGAGTAATATCTTATTTTATTTTATGTTATTATTTCATGCCTCCCTGATTAGATCAGAAACTCTTTTAAGGGAAGAACCAGATCTAATGTAACTTCTATATTATAGGTAATGGCTTCATAGTCCTGTAAGTTTTAAAATCAGAGCTCAGCATTAAAAATCTGAGCTCTAGAGTAAAACTGCCTACGTTCCAATCCTGCTCCATTGCTTACAGCTGTGAAAACATAGGCACATTTTAAAGCTTTTCTGTACCTCTGCTTTCTCATCTACCAAGTGGACATAACGCTAATATTGACCTTTTAGAGCCATTTAAGACAATTGAGTGCTTCGAGTAGTGTCTGGCAATGGTAAGCATGTGGTAATAATGGGAGCTGCTGCTGGCATCTATCACCGTAATTAAATGAGTGATTCCAAATGCCGTTGATGTGGCTTTTGTTAATCTCTGAGCCAGCATCTCTGGTGGAAGGTGCCTTCTTGAACTTATGTTTCATTTAGTCACTTGACAAAACGTTAATGGAACAGGCCTGCCCATGCATCATTCTCGAAGCTAGGAGCGTCAGTACAGTGAAGGAATAGACCACGAGTCAATGCTGCCTGGGGGATCTTCCAGCTTTGGGTCCTTGACCATGTTAATCCACCTCCTAGTCATCATCTCCTATTATTAGGAATGTTAATGTTATTCCTAATTCATTAATATAGTCTCTAGGGCAGGGATCTCGAAGCCCTGGGCCATGGAGCAACCGGTGCTGGTTCATGGCCTGTTGGGAACCAGCCCGCACAGCAGGAGGCACACATCTCCCATAGCAAGCATTCAGTGAGGGGTCATGCTTATTACAGAAATGGACTCTGTTGCTTCTCTGTGCCATGTGCAACATGGCCTCTGGCTTTTATTGTTTTTGAAAGCGAAGTGATTCATCGTGTGGCTTAATCTAAGGTGCTTATTTTGGACCCACTGTTCACATCTGTGCTGCATGTATGGTTATTTGGAAACTGTAATTTGGAGATCTGAAAGTTTCCCAATTTGAGGAGCATTATACCCAGTTTGAAAAAAAAAAGAAAAAAAAACAGTAAATAATTAGCAAAATAGACTTTTGTTAAGCTGAGTTATAGAGTGAATATTTATAGTTGGCTTTTAAAAAACATATTCATACATATAAAAATCCATGAGCTCTACTCTTCTATGATCTCTGAAGCAGAAACCACATATACCCAAGTGGATGAATCAGGTGCTGCCCTAGCTGTCCCTCTCAGAGGCCCCCGAAGTCACGAGAAAAACCCCAGGGCTCCGTGGAACAGTTTGGTAATCACTTGTTTCTAGCAAAGACGCAGCCCTGAAAAGCACAGGCACGTAAGAATTATATTCAGGGACCATAGGGCAAGCCTCCAACAGAATTGACCAGACTTCTCGATGATTTATTTTGTCAGAATTGGTGCCCAGAATGTATACAATATAGAATGATACTGTTGGCTATACTCATTAACATATGCATGTACTTCCCCTCAAAAGTTCCCTTTGTTGTAAGTTATCAGAGTGAGGCCTTCCTCGGGGCTCACGGTGTGCCCGGCAGTGTTCTAGGGAGAGCTCACTCCCGGCCTTGCAGGGACTTACGCAAGTGGGGGCGGAGGACAAAGGGATGGACGTGAATTATATGTTGGGTTGGAGGGTGGTGATCATTGTGAGATAAGATAGAAACCAAGTCCAGGCGCAGTGGCTCGTGCCTGTAATCCCAGCACTTTGGGAGGCCGAGGCAGGCGGATCACAAGGTCAGGAGATCGAGACCATTCTGGCTAACGTGGTGAAACCCCATCTCTACTAAAAATACAAAATAAATAAATAAATAAATAAATAAATAAATAAAAAAGCTGGATGTGGTGGCGGGCGCCTGTAGTCCCAGCTGCTCGGGAGGCTGAGGCAGGAGAATGGCATGAACCCGGGAGGCGGAGCTTGCAGTGAGCCGAGATTGCACCACTGCACTCCAGCCTGGGCGACAGAGAGACTCCGTCTCAAAAAAAAAAAAAAAAAAAAAAAAAAGGTAGAAACCAGTATAGACAGGCAAGGAGAGGTTGGGAGTGCCAGGGCAGAACAGCAGGAAGAATAATTTCCACATTGTAAAATATTCATTCCAAATCTAATCTGTGGGGAAAAAAAAATTCATTTCAGCCAATAAGTTGAAACTTAGGGAAAACAAGTTTTATTATGAAGGCAATGAGGGACTGATGCTTCTTAGAGTATTACAGTCTTCAGATATAGCTTAGAGAATCTTAAACTAAATATTCTCTATCAGAAGCAGGAAAGACCAGGAACCAGGTTGGATTGGAAACCTGGACTCTTCTCTCTCAACCTCTGCGGCCTTCAGAGAAAGGGTGGGCCTGGTTGTCAGATGAGGGGGCGCCACCCCTCTGTGGGCATTCACCAGCTGTGTGGTCCAGGTTTTGCCTCCTCCTCTGTCAAAATGCCATGGTGCTACTCTGCGCGGCTGTGAGAATCCAATGAGCTAACTTGTGAAAATGCCTGGCGTGATTAGAGAGGCTCCATAAAAACTAGCTTTCTTTATCACTTCTGTTTTCTCTTCAAAAAAGTGAAGGGGATGAGCAAGGCAATAACTGTGGACACTTTGAGCCTGAAATGTCCTTGCATATGTGAGAGCTTCATCAAGGAGAGCAACCAGTTCTTGCTTTCCACAATGCACATGGGAAGACCCTGGAGGTGTTTCAGGGCAGATGACTAAAATATTGTTTTGAAAGCGTCATGAAGATTCTCAAATATTCCAGTGTATTAGTCTGTTCTCATGCTGCTAATAAAGACATACCCAGGATTTTCCCTTATTTATAAAGGAAAGAGGTTTAATTGACTCACCGTTCCACATGGCTGGAGAAGCCTCACAATCATGGCAGAAAGCAAAGGGGAAGCAAGACGCATCTTACATGACAGCTGGCAAGAGAGAGCTTGTGCAGGGGAACTCCCAAAACCATCAGGGCTGGGCGCAGTGGCTCATGCCTGTAATCCCAGCACTTTGGGAGGCTGAGATGGGTGAATCACCTGAGGTCAGGAGTTCGAGACCAGCCTGGCCAACATGGTAAAATCCCGTCTCTACTAAAAATACAAAAATTAGCTGGGAATGGTGGTGCACGCCTGTAATCCCGGGTACTCAGGAGGCTGAGGCAGGAGAATCACTTGAGCCTCGGAGGCGGAGGTTGCAGCGTGCCAAGATCGTGCCACTGCACTCCAGCCTCGGTGACAAGAGCAAGACTCCGTCTCAAAATAAATAAATAAATAAATAAATAAATAAATAAATAAATAAATCCCATCAGATCTCATGAGACTTATTCACTACCATGAGAACAGTATGGGGGAAACCACCCCCATGATTCAATTATCTCCACTGGGCCCGCCCTTAACATGTGGGGATTATTACAATTCACAATGAGATTTGGGTGGGGACACAGCCAAACCATATCACATGGGAGTTATTTGGAGGATAGTTCTTATTAATTTGGGATGGTGTAAGTAACGTCCTTCCCGAGACAAAGAGGTTGAATGCAATCAATCTGCTTGTGTATTCAACAGAGGATCACCCCAGACCAGTTTGAACCCTCGTGGTGTGTTTACTGCCCAGGCCTCATCCATGGGGCTGATACTGGGACAAGCATTTCTCCCAGGTCAGTGGGGATCGTGTCTGAAGGATGAAGAACCTGACTGCCTTTCTGGAAAGACAGAGGCCCCCTGATGTGATGCTCTAGGGCACACAGACACTATCCCCAGGGAGACTTTGCCACAAGATACTTTGATCCTCGGATTCCCCGTCCGGTACAAGGCAGCCACCTTCGGCCTTGGTGTCAACTCCGTTCAGTTTCCTTGCCCTGCCTCTGAGATTTGTCTCATCGAGTGTCTTGTTACTCTTATGCTTCTGTTCCCACACTTCAATTTTGAGGGCTTTGAATCAGGTCCTCGGAGAAACTATTAGATGGCATGACCACTGAATAAATCCACGGAATTACCCTCACATGAGTACCAGCTGTTGGAGAAATTGTCTCATTAGCTGACAGATGCCCTTCAGCTTTTTAGAGTAGATAGACAGAGTTGCATGAATGACTGCAAGGACGATGTCAAAAGTTGGACTCAGCGTGAACCCAGGAGAATAGGCTGAATTAAGAATGCAAATGTATGGCTGTGGACACACTAGCAAATGTGTTTCTTTGGGTTAATTCTGGCCCTTACAGAGTAGTTGTCAATTATTTGTAAATTTACCCAGTTATTCTTAAGCTAGGTCCGTGAGTATTTTAAAGCCTCTGGACCATCAATTCAGTCCAGGGAGTGAGACAATTTTGTGCATAGGGAAAGCCCACCTGTTCCTTGGATCAGAATGAAACCTAGCTTGTGGTTTCTCCACCACACGGGCCTACTGTTTGTTTTTTGATAGACTTTCTTCTTCACTGTTTTACTAAAAGTTATTGCCCTGATAAATTCCTTAATGACCAACAAGTCAAAGGTCTTGATGTGAGACTCTGCACTGAATCAGCTGCAAAGCTTGGGCTCACTGCCTGTTCCACACCTGTCTATGGCAAAGCTGCCTGCCCAAGTGTCAGCCGTTCATTACAGTTGTAAAACCCGAACTTGATTCAACTACCACATCCGGTTTCTAAATGTGTTCATCAATGTTGCAAACGGCCCATTCAGAATTATCACTGGAGGACGTGGGACCGAGGGAGGCCACCTACATGGGAGCAGTGCTGGCCCAGAGGCATATCTGTCTGGATCAAGTGATTAGAGACTGCCTGGGGTAAACTGAGGCAGGAAGTCACAGGTAAAAGAGCCCTGCAGTCCCAGTGAAACAGGTAGGGCAAGTAGCAGTAACGAGCTGTGGAAATGGGGTCCAGGCCTCAGGAAATGCAGGGGTGAACCTTTGTGTACGTAGTTGATATAGACGAGGACAATAACATCCTTAGGTTCAAAGGGACAAAGTGCGTATGCATAGCTCCCATTCGAGGATCCATAAAATTAATCATGGGCATCCAGGTGCTATTTTTAATATTTCAAAAGCACTTAAAGGAAAGTATATCTTTTCCTTTGAAAAGGCTGCACAATTTAATTGAAATGTCAAGTCGCTTTGGGCAGAAATTGTATCAACTCGTTTGATAACATTGGTTAACTCAGGCTGATCTGAAGTCCTCATTAATAGTTACATGTGTTGGCCGGGCGCAGTGGCTCAGGCCTGTAATCCCAGCACTTTGGGAGGACGAGCTGGGCAGATCACCTGAGGTCAGGAGTTCGAGACCAGCCGGGCCAACATGGAGAAACCCTGTCTTTACTAAAAATACAAAAACTAGCTGGGCGTGGTGGTGTGCACCTGTAATCTCAGCTACTCAGGAGGCTGAGGTAGGAAAATCGCTTGAACCCGGGAGGTGGAGGTTGGAGTGAGTAGAAATCGTGCCACTGCACTCCAGCCTGCAGGACAGAGCAAGACTCCGTCTCAAAAAAAAGAAAAGAAACAAGAAAAAAAATTGTTACATGTGTCTTTGAGTTAAAAAAAGACAGAGGTACAGAGAGAAAGGAAAGGAAAAAAGGAAGAAAAAGAAAATTGCTGAAATACGGTTTATTTGGCAAACATCTTTCAAGTGTAGCAGTTTGGAAAAGTAGTGAAAGGAAATGTTGATGGTGAGAGAATTTAAACACCTCATGCCGACTCTTCCCGACTAATCCGATTATACACGTAAGTATGAATAGCTATTACACCTCTTCAGTTTTTATATTGCAAATACGTTTTTTAAATTTTATGAATAAAAGGCACTTAAAATAGTGCATCTCCTGCTTGTTTTAATTTAATTAATTTATTTATTTTTAGGCATAGTCTCGCTGTCGCCCAGGCTGGAGTGCAGTGGTGCAATTTCAGCTCACCGCAACCTCCATCTCCCAGGTTCCAGCGATTCTCCCACCTCAGCCACCCTGGTAGCTGGGATTACATGCATACGCCACCATACCTGGTGAATTTTTATGTTTTTGGTAGAGATGGGATCTTGCCATGTTGGCCAGACTGGTCTTGAACTCCTGACCTCAAGTGATCCTCCCACCTTGGCCTCCCCAAGTGCTGGGATTACAGGTGTGAGCCACTGCACCTGGCCGCCCTGCCCCTCTCCACTTAATATACAATGGAGAAAATACGGATCCAGTGAAGTCAAATGAGTTAGCTTAAATCACGTTAAGAGGATCCTGGCATATCAATATCTTCTTATTTCCAGTAGGGGCTTTGACCAGTAACCCACATCATCTTATCTCACAAAAACTGTATACCTGTTTCCCACAGTTTGCCTTATTATTATTTTTTGTCAGTTCTCTAACACTTAGTGAAATTATTAGATGCTCTAGTGTAGATGCCTGTGTAGGCCTCAGCAGGATGAACCTCAGGCAGATTTATGGTCAATAGAATATCACTGTGGCCAGCACTCACATTTGACTTCTGATTTAAGTAGGTGGTTGCAGGCTCCAGCCAGCCTGATGCTGGACCCCCACCTGCAGGTCTAAGACGGATGTAGAACCCATCAGTGGTGACTGCACCCAGGGTTTCGGGGAGCAGCCTCTACACCTGGTGACCACACACACTAGTTGTCATCTACCCTACTTGGTACCAGGTTCAAAGCCATGCCTCTCCAGCATCTGCGTGTGTGGGAGCTGGTGGCACGGGGAGCCTGTGGTGCCTGTGCTTTGATTACTCAGGGACACATTTTACCCTTTGCTATGTTACCTTAAAGACAATAATGTCATGTTACTTCCTTTCCTTCAATATTAGGTCCATTTCAGTGACTTTTCACGTTTATAAAAGCTAAGCCTCTCACCACTAAGATAGAGGACATGAAATGTGAATTCAGAAGATGGAGGGCAGAATGGAAGATTTTAAAGATGACGGGAGCACCCCTGGTCCTTCCTGACATCCGATGCTAGAATCGTCTGTTGGCTTGAATACACCTTCGAGTGACAAAGGTGTTTTCCCCTGGATTAAATTCCTGAGAAAGACACCAATTCAGTAATAAGTTATTCTTATAGGTGAAGCTTTGGTGTTACTTTTCAGAGAAATGAAAGTATATTTTACTATTTATAGAAAAATAGTAAAATAAAGAAGAGGAAATCATCTGCATTTTTAAGAAAAATCTACTTTTGAAACTCACTTTTGAACGAGAGTCAAAACTCAAGGCTGCTACATTTGATATTGAAGTCTTATCAATCAAGGCAGGCCAGGTTCAAATAGGAGGGCTCGTTAAATGAACTTTTCCAAACTATTATTTTGGAGGAATGCAGATAGAATCTTTCCAAATGGTAATAGTGGTTCAGTGAGTTAAACGGGATGTAATATGTGATACGCTGGATGTAATGCAGAGTGTTCTGAAACTTGAGCCCACTTCTTCTTGATCAGCCTTATGTAACTAGCCAGAAATCGCATCCTGCCCTGAACAGCGATTGCTTTTTGAGTGCCATCTCGCCCTGGCTTCTGTGTTTCCTGCCATGTTTATGGAGTCATCTGGTATGGTCATGGCTTTGTTCTAGGCAGTTTTGCTTTACAGTCCAAGGCCCTGCCACTCAGTAGCTCTGTAATCTTGCTGGGCTTCACTTACCACAGTTTTCAAATGGGAATAATAACAGAGCCTACTTCAAAGGGTTAGTGTAAGGTTTTATTGAGTTAATATATTTCAGGCACATACAGCATTGAATGCCATAATGTGAAGCTCAAAAATGTGATCATATTAGATCTTATAATTCTTTTCGTACTTATTTCTATCCACACTTTATTTCCCTTGT